>NC_000012.12:33192455-33345150 GCF_000001405.40 Homo sapiens
ACACAAGAACAGACCTACATAGTCCCATTTATCTTTTTTTGCCTGTGCTTTTGAGGTCTTAGTCATACATTTTTTGGTTACTTAGCTCAATGTCCAGAAGAGTTTTCTCTAAGTTTTCTTCTCATATTTTTATAGTTTTGGGTCTCACATTTAAGTCTTTAGTCCATCTTGAATTGATTTTTTTATGTGGTGAGAGATATGGGTCCAGTTTCATTCTGCTGCATATTGCTATGCAATTTTTCTAGCACCTTTTACTGAAGAGAGTGTTCTTTCCCTAATGTATGTTCTTGTGTGCTTGTCAAAGATTTGTTGGCTGTAAATATGTGATGTTATTTCTCAGTTCTCTATTCTATTACATTGATCTATGTGTCTGTTTTTAGAAGTACATGCTGTTTTTGTTACTAGCTTTGTAATATAATTTGAAGTCAGGTAATGTGATGCCTCCAGGTTTGTACTTTTTCTCAGGATTGCTTTGGCTATTTGGGCACTTTTTTGGTTCCATATGTATGTTAGGATTGTTTTTTCTTACTGTAAAACATGACATTGGTATTTTGACAGGAATTGCATTGACTCTAGATTGCTTTGGGTCATTTGAACAATATTAATTCTTCTGATCTATCAGCATGTTATGTTTTTCTGTTTGTTTGTATCATTTTCAATTTATTTCTCATCTGTGCTTTGTAGTTTTCCTTGTGGAGATCTTTCACCTCCTTGGTTAAACTCATTCCTAGGTTTATTCTCTTTTTGTAGTTATTGTGAATGGGATTGCTTTTTAAAACTTCTTCTCAGCTGGATCATTATCAGTGAATAGAAATGCTATTGATTTTGTATGTTGATTTTTGTATTCTACAACTTTACTGGATTTATTTATCAAATAAAAATTTTTTTTGGTGGAGTCTTTAGGGTTTTCTAGATATAAGATAATATCATCAGCAGAGAGGGACAGTTTGATTTTTTTTTTTCCAATGTGGGTGCTTCTTATTTGTTTCTCTAGCCTGATTGCTCTGGGTAGCACTTCCAGTAATATGTTGAATAAGCATGGTGAATGTGAGCATTCTTACTGTGTTCCAGTTCACAGAGGAAAAGCTTTCAATGTTTCCCCATTCAGTATGATGTTAGCCATGGGTTTATTGTATATGGCATTTATGATTTTGAGGTATGTTTGTTGAGCATTTTTATCATGAAGGTATGTTAAATTTTATCAAATGCTTTTCAAGCATCATTTGGTTTGACCATATGATTTTTGTCCTTCATTCTATTGATATGATGTACCAGATTTATTGATTTGCATATGTCAGACCATCCTTACATTCTTGGTGTAAAATCTCCTTGATTGTGGTGTATTATCTTTCTGATGTTGTTTTCATCAGCACATAGAACATTCTCCAAGATACCTTTCTGGTGTGCTGTTGCATTCAGTTCATCAGTATTTTATTGAGAATTTTTGTGTTAGTGTTCATCAGGGATATTGGTATGTAGTTTTCTTTTTTGTTGTGTCCTAGTCTGTATTTGATATCAGGGTGAAACTGGCCTTGTAGAATAAGTTAGGGGAAATTTCCTTCTCCTTGATTTTTTTGAACTAGTTTAAGGGGGATTGGTATTAATTCTTCTTTGTGTGTTTGATAGAATTCAGCTGTGAATCCTCTGGCCCTGGGCTTTTCTTTGCTGGGAGATTTTTTCTAAAATTGTGGCTTCAATCTTGCTGCTCATTTTTGTTCTTGCGATAGTTTACTGAGAATGATGATGTCCAATTTCATCCATGTCCCTACAAGGGACATGAACTCATCATTTTTTATGGCTGCATAGTATTCCATGGTGTATATGTGCCACATTTTCTTAATCCAGTCTATCATTGTTGGACATTTGGGTTGGTTCCAAGTCTTTGCTATTGTGAATAGTGCCACAATAAACATACGTGTGCATGTGTCTTTATAGCAGCATGATTTATAGTCCTTTGGGTATATACCCAGTAATGGGATGGCTGGGTCAAATGGTATTTCTAGTTCTAGATCCCTGAGGAATTGTCACACTGACTTCCACAATGGTTGAACTAGTTTACAGTCCCACCAACAGTGTAAAAGCATTCCTATTTTCCCACATCCTCTCCAGCATCTGTGGTTTCCTGACTTTGTAATGAATGCCATTCTAACTGGTGTGAGATAGTATCTCATTGTGGTTTTGATTTGCATTTCTGTAATGACCAGTGATGATGAGCTTTTTTTCATATGTTGGTAGGCTGCTGAAATGTCTTCTTTTGAGAAGTGTTACCCACTTTTTGATTGGTTGTTTTTTCTTTTAAATTTGTTTAAGTTCTGTGTAGATTCTGAATATTAGCCCTTTGTCAGATAGATAGATTGCAAAAATTTTCTCCCATTCTGGAGGTTGCCTATTTACTCTGATGTAATTTTTTTGCTGTGCAGAAGCTCCATAGTTTAACTAGATCCCATTTGTCAATTTTGGATTTGTTACCATCGCTTTTGGTGTTTTAGTCATGAAGTCTTTGCCCATGCCTGTGTCCTGAATGGTATTGCCAGGTTTTCTTTTAGGGTTTTTTATGGTTTTAGGTCTTTCATTTATATCTTTAATCCATCTTGAGTTAATTTTGTATAATGTGTAAAGAAGGTGTCCAGTTTCAGTTTTCTGCATACGGCTAGCCAGTTTTCCCAACACCATTTATTAAACAGGGAGTCTTTCCCCATTGCTTGTTTTTGTCAGGTTTATCAAAGACCAGCTGGTTATATATGTGTGGCATTATTTCTGAGGCCTCTGTTCTGTTCCATTGGTCTATATATATGTTTTGGTACCAGTACCATGCTGTTTTGGTTGCTGTAGCCTTGTAGTATAGTTTAAAGTCAGGTAGAGTGATGCCTCCAGCTTTGTTCTTCTTGCTTAGAATTGTCTTGGTTATATGAGCTCATTTTGGTTCCATATGAAATTTAAAGAAGTTTTTGCTAATTCTGGGAAGAAAGTCAACAGTAGCTTGATGGGGATAGCATTGAATCTATCAATTACTTTGGGTAGTATGGCCACTTTCACAACATTGATTCTTCCTATCCGTGAGCATGGAATGTTTTTCCATTTGTTTATCTCCTCCCTTATTTCCTTGAGCAGTGGTTTGTAGTTCTCCTTGAAGAGGTCCTTCATGTGTCTTGTAAGTTGTATTTCTAGGTATTTTATTCTCTTTGTACAATTGTGAATGGGAGTTCACCCATGATTTGGCTCTCTGTTTGTCTATTATGGCGCATAGAAATGCTTGCAATTTTTGCACATTGATTTTGTATCCTGAGACTTCGCCAAAGTTGCTTATCAGCTTGAGGAGATTTTGGGCTGAGATGGGGTTTTCTAAATATACAATTACGTCATCTGCAAACAGAGACAATTGGACTTCCTCTCTTTCTATTTGAATACCCTTTATTTATTTCTCTTGCCTGATTGCCCTGGCTAGAACTTCCAATTCTATGTTGAATAGGAGTGGTGAGAGAGGGCATCCTTGTGTTGTGCCAGTTTTCAAAGGGAATGCTTCCAGCTTTTGCCCATTCAGTATGATATTGGCTGTGGGTTTGTCATAAATAGGTCTTATTATTTTGAGATACATTCCATCAATACGTAGTTTATTCAGAGTTTTTAGCATGAAGGGGTGTTGAATTTTATTGAAGGCCTTTTCTGCAACTATTGAGATAATCATGTGGTTTTTGTCATTGGTTCTGTTTATGTGATGGATTATGTTTATTGATTTGCATGTGTTGAACCAGCCTCGCATCCCAGGGATGAAGCTGACTTGATCATAGTGGATAAGCTTTTTGATGTGCTGCTGGATTGGGTTTGCCAGTATTTTATTGAGGATTTTCACATCGATGTTCATCAGGGAGAGATTGGCCTGAAATTTTCTTTTTTTGTTGTGTCTCTGCCAGGTTTTGTTATCAAGATGATGCTGGCCTCATAAAATGAGTTATGGAGGAGTCCCTCTTTTTCTTTTGTTTGGAATAGTTTCAGAAGGAATGGCACCAACTCCTCTTTGTACCTCTGGTAGAATTTGGCTGTGAATCCATCTGGTCTTGGGCTTTTTTGTTTGGTAGACAATTAATTACTGCCTCAATTTCAGAACTTGTTATTGGTCTATTCAGGGATTCAACTTCTTCCTGGTTTAGTCTTGGGAGGGTGTATGTGTCCAGGAATGTATCCATTTCTTCTAGATTTTCTAGCTTATTTGCATATAAGTGTTTATAGTGTTCTCTGATGGTAGTTTGTATTTCTGTGGGATCAGTGGTTATCTCCCCTCTATCATTTTTTATTGTGTCTGTTTGATTCTTCTTTTTTCTTTATTAGTCTGGCTAGTGGGCTATTTTGTGAATCTTTTCAAAAAGCCATCTCCTAGATTCATTGATTTTTTGAAGGGTTTTTTGTGTCTCTATCTCCTTCAGTTCTGCTCTGATCTTAGTTATTTCTTGTCTTCTGCTAGCTTTTGAATTTGTTTGCTCTTGCTTCTGTAGTTCTTTTACTTGTGATGTTAGGGTGTCGATTTTAGATCTTTCCTGCTTTCTCTTGTGGGCTTTTAGTGCTATAAATTTCCCTGTAAACACTGCTTTAGCTGTCTCCCAGAGTTTCTGGTATGTTGTGTCTTTGTTCTCATTGGTTTTAAGTAACTTATTTATTTCTGCCTTCATTTCGTTATTTACCTAGTAGTCACTGAGGAGCAGGTTGTTCAGTGTCTATGTAGTTGTACAGTTTTGAGTGTGTTTCTTAATCCTGAGTTCTAATTTGATTGCACTGTGGTCTGAGAGACTGTTATGATTTCCATTCTTTTGCATTGGCTGAGGAGTGTTTTATTTCCAATTATGTGGTCAATTTTAGAATAAGTGCGAAGTTGTGCTAAGAATAATGTATATTCTGTTGATTTGGGGTGGAGGGTTCTGTAAATGTCTATTAGATCCACTTGGTCTGGAGCCGAGTTCAAGTCTTGAATATCCTGTTTATTTTCTGTCTCATTGATGTGTCTAATATTGAAAGTGGGGTGCTAAAGTCTCCCACTATTATTGTTTGAGAGTCTAAGTCTCTTTGTAGGTCTCAAAGAACTTGCTTTCTAAATCTGAATGCTCCTGTATTGGGTGCATATATATTTAGAATAGTTAACTCTTCTTGTTATGTTGATCCCTTTACCATTATGTAGTGCTCTTCTTTATCTTTTTTGATCTTTGTTGGTTTAAAATCTGTTTTATCAGAGACTAGGATTGCAAGCCCTGCTTTTTCTTGCTTTCCATTTGCTTAGTAAATATTTTTCCTTCCCTTTATTTTGAACCTATATGCATGTCTTTGCATGTAAGATGGGTCCTGAATACAGCACACCAGTAGGTCTTGACTCTTTATCTAATTTGCCAGTCTGTGTCTTTTAATTGGGGCATTTACCCCATTTACATTTAAGGTTAATATTGTTATATGTGAATTTGATCCTTTTATTATGATGCTAGCTGGTTATTTTGCCCATTAGTTGATGTAGTTTCTTTGTAGTGTTGATGGTCTTTACAATTTGGTATGTTTTTGCAGTGGCTGGTACCTGTTTTTCTTTCTGTATTTAGTGCTTCCTTCAGGAGCTCTTGTAAGGCAGGCCTGGTGGTGACAAAATCTCTAACATTTGCTTGTCTGTAAAGGATTTTATTTCTCCTTTGCATATGAAGCTTACTTTGTCTGGATATGGAATTCTGGGTTGAAAATTCTTTTTAAAAATAATGTTGAATATTGCCCCCCACTCTTTTCTGCCTTGTAGGGTTTCTGCAGAGAGATCTGCTGTTAGTCTGATGATCTTCTCTTTATGGAAAACCTGACCTTTCTCTCTGGCTGCCCTTAACACATTTTCCTTCATTTCACCCTTGATGAATCTGATGATTATGTGTCTTGGGGTTGCTCTTCTCGAGGATTATCTTTGTGGTGTTCTCTGAATTTCCTGAATTTGAATGTTGGCCTGTCTTGCTAGTTTGGGGAAGTTCTCCTGGATAATATCCTGAAGCGTGTTTTCCAACTTGGTTCCATTCTTCTCGTCACTTTCAAGTACACCAATCAAACGTAGGTTTGGTCTTTTCACATAGTCCCATATTTCTTGGAGGCTTTGTTTATTCCTTTTCATTCATTTTTCTCTAATCTTGTCTTCAAGCTTAATTTCCTTAAGTTGATCTTCAATCTCTGATATCCTTTCTTCTGCTTGATCGATTTGGCTATTGATACTTGTGCATGCTTCACGAAGTTCTTGTGCTGTTCTTTTCAGCTCCGTCAGGTCGTTTATGTTCTTCTCTAAACTGGTTATTTTAGTTAGCAATTCCTGTAACCTTTTATCAAGGTAATTAGCTTCCTTGCATTGGGTTAGAATACGCTCCTTTAGCTCAGAGGAGTTTGTTATTACCCACCTTCTTAAGCCTCCTTCTGTCAATTCGTCAAACTCATTCTCCATACAGTTTTGTTCCCTTTCTGGTGAGGAGTTGCAATCCTTTGAATGAGAAGAGGTGTTCTGGTTTTTGAAATTTTCAGCCTTTTTGCACTTGTTTTCCTCATCTTTGTGGATTTATCTATCTTTGGTCTTTGATGTTTGTGACCTTCGAATGTGGTTTATGTGTGGATCTCCTTTTTGTTGATGTTGATGCTGAGAGGTGAAGCCATCTGGACTTCCTGGGTGGAGTGGGGACTTGGAGAACTTTTCTGTCTAGCTAAAAGTTTGTAAATGCACCAATCAGCACTCTGTAAAAACGCACCAATCAGCACTCTGTGTCTAGCTAAAGGTTTGTAAACGCACCAATCAGCACTCTGTAAAAACGCACCAATCAGCACTCTGTGTCTAGCTAAAGGTTTGTAAATGCACCAATCAGCACTCTGTAAAAATGGACCAATCAGCACTCTGTAAAATGGACCAATCAGCAGGACATGGACAGGGCCAAATAAGGGGATAAAAGCTGGCCACCTGAGCCAGCAGCGGCAACCTTCTTGGGTCCCCTTCCACGCTGTGGGAGCTTTGTTCTTTCACTCTTCACAATAAATCTTTCTGTTGCTCACTCTTTGGGTCCTCACTACCTTTATGAGCTGTAACACTCACCGCAAAGGTCTGCAGCTTCACTCCTGAAGCCAGGGAGACCACGAACCCACCAGGAGGAATGAACAACTCCGGACGTGCCGCTTTTATAAGCTGTAACAACGAGCTGTAACACTCACTGCGAAGGTCTGTAGCTTCACTCCTGAAGCCAGCAAGACCACAAACCCACCAGGAGGAACGAACAACTCCGGACGCACCATCTTTATGAACTGTAACACTTACCGCGAAGGTCTGCAGCTCCACTCCTGAAGCCAGCGAGGCCATGAACCCACTGGGAGGAATGAACAACTCCAGATGCGCCACCTTTAAGAGCTGTAACACTCACTGCAAAGGTCTGCACTTTCACTCCTGAAGTCAGCAAGACCACGAATCCACCAGAAGGAAGAAACTCCAGACACATCTGAACATCTGAAGGAACAAACTCTGGACACATCATCTTTAAGAACTGTAACAGTCACTGCAAGCGTCCGCGGCTTCATTCTTGGAGTCAGCGAGACCAAGAACCCACCAGAAGGAACCAATTCCGGACACAATGCTATTCATTTCTGTTTATTACATTTCCTTCTTACAGTCAGGCCCCTCTGCTGCAGGTCTGCTGGAGTTTGCTGGAGGTTCACTCCAGTCCCTGTTTGCCTGGGTGTATCACCAGTGGAGGCTGCAGAACAGCAAAGATTGCTGCCTGTTCCTTCCTCTGGAAGCTTCATCCCAAAGGGGCACCTGCCAGATGCCAGCCGGAGCTCTCCTGTATGCGGTGTCTGTCAACCCCTACTGGGAGGTGTCTCCCAGTCAGGAGGCAGGGGGGTCAGGGAACCACTTGATGAGGCAGTCTGTCCCTTAGCAGAGCTCAATTGCTGTGCTTTGGAGACCCATTGCTGTCTTCAGAGCTGCCAGGCAGGAACAGGTAAGTCTACTGAAGCTGTGCCCACAGCCGCCCCTTCCCCCAGGTGCTCTGTCCCAGGGAGATGGGAGTTTTATCTATAAACCCCTGACTGGGGCTGCTGCCTTTCTTTCAGAGATGCCCTGCCCAGAGAGGAGGAACCTAGAGGGGCAGTCTGGCTACGGTGGCTTTGTGGAGCTGTGGTGGAGCTGTGGTGGGCTCCGCCAAGTTCAAACTTCCTGGCTGCTTTGTTTACACTGTGAGGGGAAAACCACCTACTCAAGCCTCAGTAATGGTGAATGTCCCTCTCTCCCCACCAAGCTCGAGTGTCCCAGGTCGACTTCAGATTGCTGTGCTGGCAACAAGAATTTCAAGCCAGTGGATCTTAGCTTGCTGTGCTCTGTGGGGGTAGGATCTGCTGAGCTAGACCACTTGGTTTTCTGGCTTCATCCCCCTTTCCAGGGGAGTAAACGGTTGTTTCTCGCTGTCATTCCAGGTGCCACTGGAGTATAAAAAAACTCCTGTAGCTAGCTCGGTTTCTGCCCAAATGGTCTGCCAGTTTTGTACTTGAAACCCAGGGCCCTGGTGGCATAGGCACCCAAGGGAATCTCCTGGTCTGCCCACAGCTGGTTGGATTGTGCCCCGTGCTTGTTGAAGGTGGATCTTCCTCACTCAGTCCATTGACTGACAGGTCAGTCTCCCCTGGAAACACCCTTGCAGATACATTCAGAAATAATGCTGCACCAGTTTTCTGCTATTAACCCCGTCAAGTTGACACCTAAAATTAACCATCACATCTTGATTAAGAAAGTGAATAGGCAAGCCACAAAGTTGAGGGCTTTTTAGAAAATATAATACATACATTTGACATATGATTTCATTCAGAATATACAAAGAACTCTTATAAATCAATAATAGAAAATCCAACTTAAAATGAAAAGGTTTGAACAGATGCCTAACAAAAGATACAAAATGGCCGCTAAGCACACAAGCAGTATCTTAGTGTAGTTTTTTTAATCACGAACATTCAAATTAAAATCACGAGGTACTACTACAAAACTCGTGGAATGGCTAAAATTAAAAAGACTGACAACACTAACTTGTGGTTAGAATGTGAAGCAACTGAAACTCATATATTGCTGGTGGGAGTGTAAAATGATACAATTACTTTGGAAAATACTTGAAACATTTTTTTTTTTTCAGATGGAGTCTTGCTTTGTCACCCAGGCTGGAATGCAGTGGTGCGATCTCAGCTCACTGCAAGCTCCACCTCCCGGGTTCTCGCCATTCTTCTGCCTCAGCCTCTTGAGTAGCTGGGACTACAGGCACCCACCACCACGCCCAGCTAATTTTTTTGTATTTTTAGTAGAGATGGGGTTTCACTGTATTAGCCAGGATGGTCTCAATCTCCTGACCTTGTGATCCACCTGCCTCGGCCTCCCAAAGTGCTGGGATTACAGGCGTGAGCCACTGCGCCCAGCCTAGTTGGAATGTTTTTAAATAAAACTAAACATACACTTACCCTATTATGGCCCAGAAATTATGCTCCTAGGCATTGATCCAAGAGAAATTAAAACAAATCTGTATCAAGACTTGCCAAGAATGTTCACTGCAGCTTTGTTCATAGTAGCCCAAAACTGTATTTAATCCATATGTCCATCAAGAGGGGCATGGATAAATAATTTGTGGTGTATTCATACATAGGTCTGCTACACAAAAATAAAAAGAATGAACTGCTGATAAACAATACAAACTAATTTTTACACATGGTAGTGAAAAAAGACAAAAAAAGAATATTTACAGCTGATTCCTTGTATATGATGTTCCGGAACAGGCAAATCTATTTGGAAAGAAGTCAGAAAAACGTCACCTCTGAATGCTGGTTTGCGAGCTGGGATGAACTCAAAAGAGGCATTTAACAAATTTCTGAGGTTTTTGAAAAAACCGCATTTTGATAGGTACATGGATTACATAAGTGTATATATTTGTCATATTTTCTAAACGTCAAAAGATTCATGCTAGAACAAACTGATGAATGTATGGATTATGCATAAAACTTTTTTTTTTTGCCATGAATCTGTTAGTAAACATTAGAGAATTCTGTAGAAGAGCAAACACATAAATAAATAAGCACTTCTTATAGTAGTAGCTTGTAATATTGTTATATAAATATAGCTCAATTAAAAAATAGCTCAAGTTATAGTTTGTAAGTTTCATTCCAAGCTTCACATGTTTATATATTTACTTATAAATTTTTCATAAAATCTCTTACTCATCTTACATACACAATTTACACGTCACCAAATCAACAGAAATAAACCTACTAGTACTGAAATATAGCTCAGAATGTGCTCAGTTTTAACATGCTTTAAATTTTTGTTTATATTTTATAATGACTTTTCCCCCGTTTTAAACTATTTCTCTGCATGCATTTTTAAACTCTGATTCCCAAACTATGGAAAGGAGTGTCATCTGCAGATCTGACTGAAAATTATATACTAAATTCTTAGCAAGATTTATTATTTATGGGTGTTTTTCCAAATAATCACATTTTTAAAAACAAGTTCTTTTTAGTCGTTTTAATTTACCATAATAGAAAAACTCCTTTTCTAGACTAGAGGTTCTTGGTCCTGATTGTGCATTATAATTATCTGGGTGGCTTGAAAATATAGTAGTCCCCCTTCATCTGGGGGAGATACTTTCTAAGACCCCCAGTGGGTGCTTGAAATCTCAGGCAGTACCAAACCCCCATAAAGCCTATGTTTTCTTCTATACATAAGTACCTGTGATAAAGTTTAATTTATAAATTAGGTACAATAAGGGATTCACAACAATAACTAATAACAAAGTAGAACAATGATAACACTATGCCAGCATTGCTACTCTTGCTTTTGTGCTTTTTAAGTAAAATATGGGTTACTTGAGCATAAGCCTTGCGATACTACCACAGTTGATCTGGTAACCGAGATGGCTACTAAGTGACTAAGGGGCAGGTGCTTGCTATTCACAACAGTGAACAATTTAAAACTCATGAATTGTTTATTTCTGGAAATTTCCAATTTATATTTTTGGACCCTGGTTGTCCATGGGTAACTGAAACTGTAGAAAACAAAACTGTGGCTAAGTGGGGACTATTATAAGGACTGAATTTTGTCAATACTGTTCATCAGCTGCCTTGCTTCGAGTCAGGCCTGGCCTGTCATGTAGGTGACCATTCATCTGAAATAATTTTATAGGTACAAAAATTTCATGTCTATTCATAATAATTTACTTTTCTTCTAATAATACTTGAGTTTTTGTTTTCCTAGAAACAACATACACACTCTTCCATCAAAGAGGAAGCTTAAAGCCAGGTGTGGCGAGACCTGCGTATAGTCCCTTAGGAAACTGAGGCAGAAGTGTTGCTTGAGGCCAGGAGTTCAAAGTCAGCCTGGGCAACATAACAAGACTCCTATCTCTCTCTTAGAAAAGTAAGCTTAAAATGCAATTTTTCCAATTAAGTGCTTAAAGGGAAAAGGGAAGAATCACCCAGGTGGACTGTGGTGTAGTGGGGAATGGGCACCTGCAGGGCTCCTGAAAAGCTCAATACAGAATTTTTCCCTTCATAATTTCGCCATAAACTAGATTGTTCTGCAGGGAAGAAAACATTACTGAATTCAAATTGTTGTTACAGGAAAGAGAGAAGACAAAGTGCCTTCTGGGAGTTTATTATCTAGTAGAAATGAGAGACTCCTCAGAGTTTATGGAATGTACAGAGAGAGTGTGGACTCTGTTACTGGCCATTAACTTTTCTTGAACATCTGCAAAACTTGTCTCCATAATACACAGAGCTTTCTATAGAAAGGCTGACTCTGCCTTCTTTAACTTGTACTCCAGAAAGTCATTTAAATTCTGAAAATGTAGAAGAATTTTAACAATAGAATTTTCTGGATAATATTTAACTAGAGAACTGAGAAAGACTTATTCTGTGTTTACTGCCTGATTAAGTACAAATCTTTCCATTCTACCAATCAAAGCGATGCTTGTTTCTGATTTGAAGAAGCCTCGAGAACATATAAAACATAAAATAATGCCTGAGTTTAGTTCAGGGTTATAAATTGAATTATAGACCAAACATTTATTAACGTCAAACCAATGCCATCACTGCTGTCATTTTTATCAGTGTTCTCCAAAGAGATATGTGGTAAAAGTGTTCAAATTTTTATTTATATTTATGTTTTTCTCAAGAAGAAAGTATGCTTTACTAATAACAGATTGATAGTAGTGAATGTATAATATAGTTAATATGTAAATAAATATTTAAAATAAATGTTTATACATTGAGGCTGTTATGTTTTAAAAGTTATTACTGATGTGATGCATGATTAAAATTTTATGTGATTTAAATTATTTTGAAAAATAGTGACTTATATGTCAGGAGAACTAGGTTATGTACTGCTGCCTTTTTTGCAGATGACAGTTCTGACCTACAGGGAATGGAAGCAGTCTAAAAAGAATCATTTGTGATGCTCTCTCTTTCCTCACCTGGAACATAAATGCTTTGTAGTCATAGCCATTTGGGGTGGCCTCTGTCTCACCTGTGGTTTGAGGTTTCTGTTCACAGACAATTGACCTCTATTCACCGGAAGGAGTCTCAGAATGTCCCAGGTGAAAGGCACCTCAGAGATTTGTTCTACCTTCTTATTTTAAAGACGGATAAATATGGACCAAAGGCAGAAGTAATGAAAATATGTATTTAAAGTAATTCAGCTAAGAAAAGAAGAGAGTTGCTGAATACCACTATAATGGAGCTGTTTTTTATTTTTCTGCAATGCCTAGTGTGCTGACCAGAGGACAGTGACTATAAGCATACTGAAAGGGCATCTGCTCCCACGTAACCAGATGAAAGGAAATATTGCATATAATCATTGCTTAATATTTCTGACAATGGTAATTACCATCTGGCTGGTAGGACTGGAAGGAATCTATAAATATTTAGCTATTTATTAAAAGGAAAGGGAAAGTTAATGTATTCTTTGTCTCTAGTGGAAAATACGAGCATTTTACACGAGATTTTTTTTCACTTTTTTCTATGTTTTCTGTGTTATATTTGCTTATGAATATAATGAGGATTTTATCTGCAGGCTGTTTTTTCAATAAAGACACATTTGTTATTTCAGTATTTTTCTAGCTTCTACATTGACATAGGAAGTGTAAGGTGTATTCCTCAGGAGGCAAAACTGAATCATGTTAAGTAGTTATTTGAGAAGAATATGCCCAATTACATTCTAATTTAGAAGGCATAGACAATATACACTATAAATGTTCCTGGAAATCAATTTGCCTTTCAAATCAATGCTTTCCCAGAGAAATATGGAGAAAATGCTGTAATATTTCATTTCCCTGGCCTCTGACTCCCGAAGCCATTCAGCTGGGGCTTTTGACAGCAAGTATTTAAGCAATCTTTGTTGCTCCTTTGATTCAGGTTTAGCATTAACCTCTCTCAGGAAGCCTTTGTCTGATATCTTTCTCTATCATCCATCCTTTGCGATCAGGCTTTGAATCTGAAATTTCTGGGACTGCTGTGTTCTCGTTTTTTTTTTTTTTTTTTTTCTAAAGCTGTACTTCTTCCAATCCTCATGTGTGCCAGATCCTGAAATTCTGATGAGTTTTCTGGTACCCTGTCTTGTTCTGTTAGTTGCTTTTCTAAGGACTGCAGTCTGACTCTGGAACGTCAGTCTTGGCTGGAAACTGCTACTGCATGTTCATAGAGTTACGGTCTGCTCATTGACCATTAAAGGATCTTATTCATCATAAAAGCTTCATACAATATGACTCACATTGTTAAGATACTTTTATTAAATGCCTGCATTGTTTTTCACTTCATGGGAGAATTTTTAATGTTAGTTCCCAAAAGAAGGATGGAAGCTTGATTCTTCTTGTTATAAAACCATGAGGTTTGGCTCTTGCATACAAGCTCACTTTAAGAGAAAGATAATTAATACTGTACAAATGGACATCAAGCATGAACATATTTTACTGTTGACACCAATTTTTAAGTCCTAGATACTTAAAGCAGATGCAGAAGGTTTTTAGCACAAAACATAAAACAACACAGTGCACTTTTAACCTCCAGAATTCGTGCAGTAGTTAGAGAAGAATGCAGCTGGTTGTCCTGGCATCCGTGGTGCTGTGTTCTGTGTTTTGTAGCTTGGGAGAAGATAGGTCAATGAGTTTGTTAGCAACAGACTATCAAGCAAATGCAAGCCTCTATCAAAATAATAGCTTATTAATTTTGAACTTTTTCTTTTGAAATAATTTCATATTTACCGGAAAGTTGAAAAAGCAGTAGAGAAAACTCTAATTTTTTAAACTTATTTTTTATATTTCTTAATTATGCCCCATTAGCCCTTAATACTTCAATGTATATTTTCTATAAACAAAGAAGTTCACTTTCATAACCATTGGACAGCCATCAAATTCAGTAAATTTAATGCTGATGAAATATTTTTCTGAATATTTCAAATGCATTTAAGAAGCATACTGTGGGCTGGGCATGGTGGCTCACGCCTGTAATCCCAGCACTTTGGGAGTCTGAGGCAGGTGAATCAGGAGGTCAGGAGATTGAGACCATCCTGGCTAACACAGTGAAATCCCGTCTCTACTAAAAATACAAAAAAATTAGCCGAGCATGGTGGTGGGCGCCTGTAGTCCCAGCTACTCGGGAGGCTGAGGCAGGAGAATGGTGTGAACCTGGGAGGCAGAGCTTGCAGTGAGCTGAGATTGCGCCACTGCACTCCAGCCTGGGCGACAAAGCGAGACTCGGTCTCAAAAAAAAAAAAAAAAAGAAGCATAATGTGATATTTGATTTATATCCATAAGGCATACCTTGTTACTTCTTTCAAAGAAGGCTTGTTTGGTTTTTTTGGTCCATTTAATCTGTCCTGTACTGAGTGTTGAGCTAAAATCTTTTATTATTAGTATAGTATTATTTTTATTGCATTGACTGTAATTTTGGCTTTATATAAGTGATTACAGTTTTTTGTATGCATAGATTAAATATATACACATGAATTATAAGTTAATTCACATCTTCATTGTGAATTGTAGCATTAGCCATTATAAAACAACTTTAGTCTCAATTAATAATTTGTAGCCTATATTTCACATTGGGTGATATTAGATCACAACCATGCTTTTTTATTGTTTGAATTTTCCTGATATATCTTTTCTATCCTTTTACCTTTTGCCTTTTGAATCATTCTGTTTTAAATGTGTCCATATTGATGGCATAGAGTTGGGTTTTTAAGTTAATTGAAAAGCGTTTTAATAGGCAAAATCAACCCAGGCCTGAGGAGGCCTCAGGAAACTTACAATCGTGGCAGAAGGGGAAGCAAACACATCCTTCTTCTCTGGGGGCAGGAAGGAGAAGTGCTGAGCAAAAGGGGAAAAGCTGCTTATAAAACCATCAGATCTCATGAGGACTCACTCTCGATATTATGAGAACAGCAGCATGGGGGTAACCATTCCCATGATTCAATTACCTCCCACCAGGTCCCTCCCACAACACATGGGGATTATGGGAACTACAATTCAAGATGAAATTTGGGTGGGAACGCAGGCAAACTGTATCAACTGTTTTTGTTCTTTGGAAAAAATGCTCCTTTAGTGTTTAAGAAAGGTTGCATTTAAACTTTCTATAGTCCTCTTAATCCTTTTTTTTTTTTTTTTTGCCTGATCTTTCACAGTCTGGTTTGTCAGTTTTAAATGATATACCTTGACTCCAACCTGTTACCTGTGCAATAAGAATAAATCTTACTTTCCATTTCTTTTCTCCCTTTTTTAAATCAGTCGCATTCTTCCCACTGTTTTCAAATATGTCTTTAAATTTTTCTTCCACCCACACCCAATACTATTCTTTTTTTTTGAGACAGAGTCTCGCCATGTCACCCAGGCTGGAGTGCAGTGGCACGATCTTGGCGCACTGCAACCTCCGCTTCCCAGGTTTACGCAATTCTCCTGCCTCAGCCTCCCGAGTAGCTGGGATTACAGGCACCCACCACCATGCCCCCTAATTTTTGTAATTTTAGGAGAGACGAGATTTCCCCATATTAGCCAGGCTGGTCTTGAATTCCTGACCTCAGGTGATCCACTGGCCTTGGACTCCCAAAGTGCAGGGATTACAAGTGTGAGCCACTGTGCCCAGCCCATTTCTATTCTTAGTCTTAGTTCTACAATTAAATAAATAAAATATATTAAAATGCTCACCACTAGTCTTTTAGCCCCAATTTTTCCAATTATCACTAGATTGTGTATCATTCTGTAATAGATGCTCAGGAAAGGCACAACTTCTTTCAGTTTATGTGCATTAAAATTTGTTTAGCTTTAATATATGAAGAAGTAATTTAGCTAATAATCTCTTCTCTTGAGGTTTTGAAAATTTTACTCCACTGTTGCCTTTCTTTATATGGTGCTTTTGATAAGTCTGACGTCAGTACAATTTTCCCCCAATTTTTTACCTTTATGTAATTTTATATTTTTGCCTAGAGGCCCAGAAATTTTTCTCACTGACTTTAAAATGTGGTAGTTTTATTAACCTAAATCTTAGAGTAAACCATTTTGTGTCACTTTTTTCCTCAGATACATAGTGGACACTTTAAGTATGTAGCTCTAAGCTTTCTCCTATTTCTGAAGCCCCTCTTTCCCATTCTTTGGATTACAGATATTAGTTATCTCTCATTGTGTTGTTTCTGTTCTGAAGAAGTTCAAGTGTATGCATGTTGGATCTTTGTCTTCCATTTCAAACATTTTCTGCCCATTGTAGTTCTTTTCTCTATCTCATTTCATTTATCTCATTTATCACTTGGTAGTTTTCCTTTCATTCTTAAATGTATCTTATTAAAGTTTCTTCAAATTATTTATTTTTGGGCATCTTGCAGTTTATCTTTCGTTTCTCAGTTTTGTTTTATTTTTCTTTAATCCTTTCTGAGTTTGAAAAAATCTGGTTGCATTTATTCCTTTCTTGGGTCCATCTCTGTTTTTTGTTTTTTAATATTTTAAACGCTTATTGAAAGATATTTAAATAATTTTAGATTGTTGTATTCCATTTTTTCTTTTTGGCTCATTGGGAAAAGTTTTTACCAGCTGATATGTTCTGAAATATATTTTATATTTCCTTCTTATCCTAGTTTTTTGTGTCATCAATAGGGTTTCTAATTAGGAGTGTCCTCTTCTGCCAGTCTAGTAAAGTGTAATTTCCTTCACGGATGATTTTTTTTTTTTTTTTTTTTTTTGTGGTGGAGGGAGAAGTGAGAAGGAATGATGTTCTTTATTTCATTTCATTTTTGCAAGATCTTCACGTTTCCAATTTTACTTCCTTTTTTCTTGGACTTTACTGCTACATTTCTAAGGCATTTTCAACACTTTGTTTTTCTTTTTATTTCATTCTCTCCAGAAACAATGCTTCTAGGACTTGCTATCTCTTCTCCCATTCATTTTCAAGCCCCTTCCCTGTGGCTGGTTCTTTGAATAAATGCATACAAGACCAGTGTCTAGTATTTTATTACATAATGTTGGGCCTTTCCTTCTTACAGTATTTATTTTTCCTACTTCATCTAAGTTTGTTGCTTTCCTCTTCTCTTTTTCAAGGATTTCTTAATACTCCCCTCCCTACTTTTATTACCCATAGACTTACAGAGGCAGATAGAGAGCCAATGATACCTCTGTTGGGTTTAGGTTTTATTTCTTTAGTGACAGGTAAATTGAATGTTATGGTAATCTCTTTTAGTATTGCTGAAGGCATGGGTCATATGTGATTTTTTTTTTTTTTTAGATGAAGTCTCACTCTTGCCCCCCAGGCTGGAGTGCAGTGGCGCGATCTTGGCTCATTGCAACCTCCACCTCCCGGGTTCAAGCGATTCTCCTGCCTCAGCCTCCCGAGTAGCTGGGATTACAGGTGACTGCCACCACGCCTGGCTAGTTTTTATATTTTTAGTAGAGACAGGGTTTCACCATGTTGACCAGGCTGGCCTACAAACTCCTGACCTCAGGTGATCCGCCTGCCTTGGCCTCCCTTTTTATTCACACCTTACTGATAATTTTCTGGGGGGCAAGGATGAATAAACAGATTATGATCCTCAATAGCCTTGCTACTTTAAGAGACTAGTGGGTATTTTAATTGATGCTTTATTACTTTGGGCCAGATACTGAAATCCCATCTCAGGGGAAGCCACTTATTTTTATATATTTTAATTGAATTTTCTAACAGTTATTCAAATTCTTTAAACATCTATAATGTCCTCAGTTTTATGCTGGCTTCTCATTTATAAAGTATTTTAAAAGATTCTTAACTTGTAGGGTTGTGTGAGGACTAAATGAATTAATCCTCATTAACTCATTAATTAATAAGCAATTGCCTCATTTATAACCAAATCCATTACATTTAATTTCTGACAAAACACAATTTAAAACATCATATAAAAACAAACTACTAATAATTAATTCAGATGTACAAAAAAGCCTTCCTCAAATTAATAGTTTATGAAATTTTTTTTCCAAAGGCAAATCAATTTCTGGCATGGGCCAGGACACAGATTCTACAAATAAGAATGGTGTTATTAGTAAATAAAAAGTTTCTTCATATAGTTGACAAAATTTTGTCCATTCAGCTGCTACCCTTAATCAGTTTTGGCAGTTGGGTCACCTCTATTCATGCTTGTCACATTATTTTGGTCTTGTCTTAGGCTAGGTTCTTGTTTCCTTCCCTCTGTGTTTGTCTCTCATCATTGTGCTGATCCAGCACAACTTGTACCCAAGTTCTGAGACAGAATAAAAGAAATCAGGAGATTAATCAAAGATATAGTACAATATTGTAATACTGCAATGAACCTCTTAATAAAAAAATGAGCAAAAACAAACCACAGAGTTCATAAAGTCTAGAAGTGTCTGTTCCATCAAATGTGCAGACATCAAAACAGAACAAAAAGAAACATAAAAAAAATCAAAGAATCATGACATTGCTAAATGAAAATGAATACAATAGTTTTCCAGTAACTGGCCTCAAAGAAGTGGAGATTTATTACTTATTTGACAAAGAATTCAAAATCTTTTTTTTAAGAAAGCTCAGCAAAAAAGAGAACATAGACAACTCAAATAATTCAGAAAACAATGCATGAACAAAATGAGCAGTTCAATAAAGCAACATATATCATTAAAAAAGACATTCTGAAGCTGAATATTATAAAAAATGAAACAAAGAATGCAATAGAGAGTATCAACAATAGACTAGACTTGATCAAGCTGAAAAAGAATTTGTGAGCTAGAAGACAAGTCTTTGAAGACAGAGAAAAAAAGGAAAGGAAAAAAAAGATAAAAATAAATGAAAATGTCTGTGGGAGTTATGAGACTCCATCAAGATAGCTAACTTTTTTCATTATAAGAGTCCAAGGAGAAGAGAGAGAGAGAAAGGGGCAGAAAACTTACTTAAAGAAATAATGGCTTAAAACTTTCCAAATCTAGGGTCAGATATGGACTTGCAGGAGCTTGAACTTTAATGATCTCCACTTAGGTTTAATTCAAAGAGGACTTTACTAAGATATATTATAATCAAACTGTCAAAAATTAATGACAGAGAGAATGTTGAAAATACCAAGAGAGAAGAAAGTTCTTCACATACAAGAGTAATAAGGCTCCCAGTGGATTTCTTAGCAGAAACTTTGCAGACCAGGAGACACTGAGATGATACATTCAAAGTGCTGAAAGAAAAGAAAACTGCCAACTGAGAATACTTAACCTTGTAAAGTTGTCTTTCAGAAATGAAGGAGAGATAGAATTTCCCAGAAAAACAAAAATTCATGAAATTAATCACCACCAGACCTGTCATAAGGAATGCTAAATGGAGTTCTTCAATTTGGAAGAAAGCATAGTAACAAAAAAAACTTATGACAGTATAAAACTCACTGGTGAAAGTATTTGGTTAAATTCAGAATACTCTAACACTATATAGTTGGTGTGTAAATTACTTACAATTCTAGTATAATGATTAAAAGATAAAACTATTAAAAATAAGTATAGCTACAATAATTTGTTAAGGAATACACAATATGAGTAGATATAAATTGAGACATCAAGAACATAAAAAGAAAAGTAATGTTGATTTTTTTAAGTGCAATCAAAGTGAAGTTGTTACCAGCTTAAGAGAGCCTATTATAACTACAAGACACTTTGTGTAAGCTTTATGGTAACAAAAAAGCAACAATCTATAGTATATACACCAAAGATAAAGTAATCACAGAATACCACCACAAAAAAATCATCAAATTGCAAAAGATGATGGCAAGAGAGGAGGAAAGAAAGAAACTAGGTAACAGCCAGAAAACAATTAAAAATGTCAAGAATAAGTCCCAACTTATTAATAATTACTTTAAATATAAATGGATTAAATTCTCCAGTCAAAACCAAGAATGATTTAACAGACGAAAAAAAGACCCAACTATATGCTGCCTACAAGAGGCTCACTTCAGCTTTAAAGATACACATAAACAGAAAGTAAAAGGATAGAAAAAGATATTCCATACAAATGGAAACCAAAGAAAGAGGAGGTAGTTATACTATCAGACAAAATAGACTGTAAGTCAAAAACTGTAAAATGAGACAAAGAAAGTTATTATATAATGATAAAAGGGCCAATTTATTATGTAAATATAATCATTGTGCATACCTGTGTATGCACAGATCTGAAGGGAGAGATAGATTCTAATACAATAATAGTAAGGGAATTTCAATATTCTGCTTTCAACAAAGGATAGCTCCTCCAGACACAAAATCAATGAGGAAATATTGGACATAAACTATCCTTTATGCCAAATGGACCTAACAGATATATACAGTACATTCTATCCAATAGCAGCAGAATGCACATTATTTTTATTTTTAATTTTTGTCGATACATAGTAGATACACATATTAATGGGTTATATGAGATATTTTGGTACAGGCACATGATGTGTAATAATCACATTAGGGTAAATGAGGTATCCATCACCTCAAGAATTTATCCTTTGTTTTACAAACAATTCAAGTATTATTTTAGTTATTTCAAAATGTACAATTAAATTATTATTGACTGTAGTCACTCTGTTGAGCTAGCACATACTAGTTCTTATTCATTCTTTCTAATGATTTTTTTTCTACCCATTAACCTTTCCCATTCTCCCCTCTCCTTCCACTACCCTTTCCGCCCTCTGGTAACCATCCTTCTACTCTCATTCTCCATGAGTTCAATTATTTTAATTTTTAACTCCCATAAATAAGTGACAGAACATGTGAAGTTTGTCATTCTGTGCCTGGCTTATTCCACTTTACATAATGATCTCCAGTTCTATTCATGTTGTTGCAAATGACAGAATCTCATTCTTCTTTATGGCTGAATAGTACTCCATTGTGTATATGCACCACATTTTCTTTATCCATTCACCTGTTGATGGATACTTTGTTTGCTTCTAAATCTTGGCTATTGTGAATAGTGCTGTAATAAACATGGGAGTGCAGATATCTCTTCTATATACAAATATCCTTTTTTGGGGGAATATATCTAGGAATGGAATTGTAGATCATACGGTAGCTCTATTTTTAGTTTTTGAGAAACCTCCAAACTGTTCTCCATAGTGGTTGTACTAATTTATACTCCCAGCAACAGTGTACAAGAGTTCCCTTTTCTCCATGTCCTCACCAGCATTTGTTATTGCCTGACTTTTAGATAACAGCCATTCTAACTGTGGTGAGATAGTATTTCATTGTATGTTTGATTTGCATTTCTCTGATGATCAATGATGTTGAACACCTTTTCATATATATGTTTGCCATTTGTATGCCTTCTTTTGAAAAATGTCTATTCAGATCTTTTGTCCATTTTTTAGTTGGATTCAGAATACAAATTTTTCTAAAGCTCACATGGAATATTCTCCAGGGTAGACAACAAGTTTTATCACAAAACATGTCGTAACAAATTTAAGAAGATTGAAATAATATCAAGTATCTTTTCTAACCACAATGGGATGAAACTAGAAATCAATAATAGGAGGAATTTCAGAAAACTTCTAAATATGTGGAAATTAAACAACACACATCTGAATAACCAATGCCTCAAATAAGAAATAAAAAGGGAAATTAAAAGCATTATGAGACAAATGAAAGTGGCAACACAACATATCGAAACTTATAGGATGAGCAAAAGCAGTTCTGCAAGAGAAGTTTATAGTGATAAATGCCAAAATGAAGAAAAAAGAAAATATCAATAAACCTAACTCTACATCTCAAAAACCTAGAAAAGTAAGGACAAACTAAATCCTAAGTTAGTAGGAGGAAGAAAACAACAAAAACCAGAACAAAAATACATGAAATAGAGACTGGAAAAACAATAGAGAAGATCAATAAAACTAAGGGTTTGTTTTTTGAAAAACTAAACAAGATTGTCAAATCTTCAGTTAGACTAAGAAAAGAGAAAGCATACTCAAATAAATAAAATCCAAAATGAAAGGTGAGACTTTCCAACTGAAACCACAGAAGTAGAAAGGATCACAAGAAACTACTACGAATGGTTATACACCACCAATACATTTGTTAACCTAAAAGAAATGGATAAATCTCTGGAAACATACAACCTCCAAGACTGAAATGAGGAAGAAATAAAACCTGAACAGACCAATAATGAATAAGGAGATTGAATCAGTAATAAAAAGTCTCCCTTTAAAAAGAAAAAAAGATAAGCCCAGGACATGATAGACTGACTGCTGAATTCTACCAAACATTTAAAGAAGAACTATTACCATCTTCAAAGGAGGAAATATTTTCAGATTCGTTTTATAAGGCCAAGACTACCGTGGTAGGAAAGCCAGAGAAGCACAACTTTTAGAAAAGAAAATTACAGGCCAATATCGTTGATAAACTTGGATGCAAAAATTTTCAATGAAATATTAGCAAACTAAATTCAAAGCATATTAAAAGGATCATTAAATACTATGTGCAGCGTGACGGTATTTCAAAGAGTAAAGGACTGAAGTGGTAAAAGGAAGCATTCCTGTCCTCAACAAATTTTCTCCTTGGACCTGAAGTGACAGGACAGTTTACTATTAAGGCATCTGGAAAGGAGTTTCAGGCAATGGACAGCAGCTAATGAGTGATGATCTATGGCAGAGGTGAAAGTGCTGCAGAGGGATGTGGGATAACATTTTTGGTTTCATAATATGTGTTAGAAGAAGCTGAAACTAAAAGATCTGCTGATGGAGGTTGAAGAAGATGCTTGGATTGGGTAAAGATATCCAGTAACATATATATATATATTTTGAGACGGAGTCTCGCTCTGTCGTCCAGGCTGGAGTGCAGTGGCGCGATCTCGGCTCACTGCAAGCTCTGCCTCCCGGGTTGACGTCATTCTCCTGCCTCAGCCTCCCGGTAGCTGGGACTACAGGCGCCTGCCACCATGCCCGGCTAATTTTTTGTATTTTTAGTAGAGACGGGGTTTCACCGTGTTAGCCAGTATGGTCTCCATCTCCTGACCTCGTGATCCGCCCGCCTTGGCCTCCCAAAGTGCTGAGATTACAGGCGTGAGCCATCGCGCCCGCCGATATCCTGTAACATATTTAATGAATTCCCTATCAATAGACAGTTAATGGACTTTTTGTTTTTACGATGTTGTAATAAATTTCCTTATACCTACATGTACATACACACACACATGCACACACACATTGTATTATTTCCTTAGGAAAATTTTCAAGGAACAAAGTAATTAGGCCAGATGCATCTTATATTTATACCTACGGCAAATCATTTCAAGAAAGAAATAACAACTTACATTCGAGTGTATAAGAATATCCAATTTGTTTTTAATTTACCCTCATCAGTCCTAGGTATCATCTTTCCTTCAATCTTTTTATTTCCACAGAAAAACGATTACACTATTTTAAACATGGATTTAAAAATTATTTGTGATATAATTCATAAGTTCACATTTAATTATTTACATATTCACATTTAATTGCCATTTATATTTCTTCGGAGTTACTTGTTCAAATCTATTGTCTCACTATTGTATTGAGATATTTTTATTACTTTATATAGTGATCTGTAAGGGTTTTTACAATATTAAGAATCTTATCAGGTCTGTAATTTATGTTACATTTTTTCCAGTTTAAAAAAAACCTAACTTTATGATTTTTGTTATAGAGATTTCAGATTTTTATGGAGTCAAGTCTTTATGCACTGTGGGTTTGTATAATGCTTAGAAAGATTTCCTCACTTAAATATTATAAGGATAGTTTTCTATGTTTCCTTCCAGTATTTCGTTTTATATTTTTGTTCAAATCTTAACCTGCATATGAAAAATCATGTAATGGATAATAATGTGTATGTTTATTTTACAAAAAGATAATGACGGGTTGTTAAATATATTTTTCTTTCTAATTACATTATTTACTATAAGATTAAACAATTTCTCTTGAATTTAAAATGCCATTTGTTTTATCTCAAAATTGTGAGACATAATTATATTAAATTTTGTGTATTTATTCTAGAATCTCATAAAAATTTCAGCCAGAGCAAAAAGTTAATAAACTACACAGTAAATATAAAAATATGTAAATGATGTATCAATATAGCAAAAGTTCTGCTTGGATTTTCAAAGAAAAATCAGTCTTGCTTCTATAAGACTATCTACTAATAAGTGAATTTGATTCATCTTTTTTTAATTTTTTTATTTTAAGTTGAGGAGTACATATGCAGATTTATTATATAGGTAAACTTGTGTCATCAGGTTTTGTTGTATCGATTATGTCATCACCCTGGTATTAAACCTAGTATCTCTTAGTTGTTTTCCCTAATTGTCTCCCTCCTCTCAACGTTTACCCTCTGAAAGGCCCCAGTGTGTGTTACCCTCTATGTATTCATGTGCTGTCATCATTTAGCTCCCACTTATAAGTGAGAACATGCAGTATTTAGTTTTCTGTTCCTGCATTAGTTTGCTAAGGACAACGGCCTCCAGTTCCTTTTCTTTAGCCAGTCTCTCGTTGATGGGCATTTAGGTATATTCTGTGTCTTTGTTACTGTGAGTAGTGTTGCAATGAACATACACATACATGTGTCTTTATATTATAACAATTTATATCCCTTTGGATGTATACCCAGTAATGGGATTATTGGGTCGAAGGTATTAATATTTCTGTTTCTAGGTCTTTGAGAAATTGCCACACTGTCTTCCACAATGGTTGAACTAATTTATACTCCCACCAACAATGTATAAGTATTGCTTTTTCTCCACATGCTTGCCAGCATCTGTTATTTTTTGACTTTTTAATAGCCATTCTGACTGGTGTGAGATGGTATCTCTTTGCGGTTTTGATTTGCATTTCTCTGATGATCATTGTTGTCTACCTGTATGTCTTCTTTTGAAAAGTGTTTTTTCATGTCCTTTGCCCACTTTTTAATGGGTTTTTTTTCTTTTAAATTTGTTTAAGTTCCTTATAGATGTTGGATATTAGACCTTTGTTGGATGCATAGTTTGCAAATACTTTCTCTCATTCTGTAGGTTGTCTGTTTAATCAATTGATAGTTTCCTTTGCTGTGCAGAAGCTCTTTTGTTTACTTAGATCCTATTTGTCAATTTTTGCTTTTGTTGCTATTGCTTTTGGTGTCTTCATCATGAAATCTTTGCCAGTTCCTATGTCCAGGATGGTATTGCCTAGATTGTCTTCCAGGGTATTTATAGCTTTGGGTTTTGCATTTAAGTCTTTAATTCATCTTGAGTTAATTTTCATATGTGGTGTAAAGAAGGGGTTCAGTTTTAATCTTCTGCATATAGCTAGCCAGTTATCCCAACACCATTTATTGAATAGGATCTCCTTTCCCCATTGCTTGTTTTTGTCAGCTTTGCTGAAGATCAGATGGTGGTGAGTGGCCTTATTTCTGGGTTTTCTATTCTGTTCCATTGGTCTATGTGTCTGTTTTTGTACCAGTACCATGCTGTTTTGGTTACTGTAGCTCTGTAGTATAGTTTGAAGTCAAGTAATATGATGCCTCCATCTTTGTTCTTTTTGCTTAGGATTGCCTGGGCTATATGGGCTGTTTTTTTGGTTCCATATGAATTTTAAAATACCATTTTCTAGTTCTGTGAAGAATGTCAATGGTAGCTTCATAGGAATAGCATTGAATCTTTAAATTGCTTTGGGCAGTATGGCTATTTTAATGATACTGATTCTTCCTATTCATGAGCATGGAATGTTTTTCCATTTGTGTCATTTCTTTGAGCAGTGCTTTGTATTTCTCCTTGTAGAGTTCTTTTACCTCCCTGGTTAGCTGTATTCCTAGGTACTTTATTCTTTTTGTGGCGATTGTAAATGTGAGTTTGTTCATGATTTGGCTCTCTGATTGCCTATCATTGGTGTATAGGAATGCTAGTGATTTTCGTACATTGATTTTGTATCCTGAGATGTTGCTGAAGTTGTTTATCAGCTTAAGGTGCTTTTGGGTTGATACTACGGGGTTTCTAGATGTAGAAACGTGCCATCTCCAAACTGGGGTCGTTTGACTACCTCTCTTCCTATTTGGAGGTGTTTTAAATCTTTCTCCTTGCCTTATTGCTCTGGCCAGGTCTTCCAATACTATGCTGAATAGAAGTAGTGAGAGAGGGAATCCTTGTCTTGTGCTTGTTTTCAAGGGGAATGCTTCCAGCTTTTGCCCATTTAGTATGATGCTGGCTGTGGGTTTGTCATAGATGGCTCCTATTATTTTTGAGGTACGTTCTTTCAGTACCTAGTTTATTGAGAGTTCTTAACATAGAGCGATGTTGAATTTTATCGAAAGCCTTTTCTTATCTATTGAGATAATCACGTGGTTTTTGCCTTTAGTTTGGTTTATGTGATGAATCATATTTATTGATTTGTGTATGTTGGACCAACCTTGCATCCCAGGAATAAGGCCTACTTGATAATGGTGAATAAGTTTTTTGATGTGCTGCTGGATGGAGTTTGCCAGTATTTTGTTGAGAATTTTTGCATCTATGTTTTTCAAGGAATCTCATTAGTTTCAAAGAACTTCTTGATTTGTGCCTGAAGTTTTCATTTTTCTTTTGTTGTATCTCTGCCAGTTTTTGGTGTCAGAATGAAGCTGGTCTCATAGAATGAGTTAGGAAGGAGTCCCTCTCCCTCAATTTTTTTGGAATAGTTTCAGCAGAAATGGTACCGGTTCTTCTTTGTGCATCTGGTAGAATTCAGCTTTGCGTCTATCTGGTCCTGGTCTTTTTTGGTTGGTAGGCTATTTATTACTGCCTCAATTTCAGAGCTCATTATTGATCTATTCACGGATTCAATTTCTTCTTGATTCAGTT
Organism: Homo sapiens; assembly: GCF_000001405.40. Taxonomy (NCBI): domain Eukaryota; kingdom Metazoa; phylum Chordata; class Mammalia; order Primates; family Hominidae; genus Homo; species Homo sapiens. The sequence goes on from NC_000012.12 coordinate 33,219,762, forward strand.
TTGGGAAGTTGTATGTTTCCAGGAATTTATCCATTTCTCCTAGATTTTCCAGTTTACTTGCCTAGAGTTCTTCATAGTATTCTCTGATGGTTGTTTGTATTTCTGTGGGGTTAATGGTAATATCCCCCTTGTCAATTCTGATTGTGTTTATTTGAATCTTCTCTCATTTTTTTTTCTTTATTAGTATTAGTCTAGCTAGAGGGCCGTCTTTTTTATGTTTTTTTTTTTTTTTTTTTTTTTCAAAAAACCAGCTTCTGGATTCACTGATCTCTTGAATAGTTTTTCATGTCTCAATTTCATTCAGTTCAGCTCTGATTTTGGTTATTTCTTGTCTTCTGCTAGCTTCAAGATTTGTTTGCTCGTGGGTCTCTAGTCATTTCAGTTGTGATTTTAGGTTGTTTACCTCAGATTTTTCTAACTTATTGATGTAGGTATTTAGTGCTATAAATTTCTGTCTTAACATACTTTAGCAGTGTTCCAGAGATTCTGGTATATTGTATCTTTGTTCTCATTAGTTTCAAAGAACTTCTTGATTTCCACCTTAATTTCATTATTTACTCAAAAGTAATTCAGGAGCAGGTTATTCAATTTCCATATAATTGGTTTTAAGTAAATTTCTTAGTCTTAATTTCTAATTTGATTGTGCTGTTGTCCAATGGATTGCTATTATTTTAGTTCTTTTGCATTTGCTAACGAGTGTTTTACTTTTGATTATGTGATCAATTTTAGAGTATGTGCCATGTGGAAATGAGAAGAATGTATATTCTGTTGTTTTTGGTTGGAGAGTTATGTAGATATCTATCAGATCCATTTGATCCAGGGTTGAGTTCAGTTTCTTAATATCTTTGTTAATTTTTTGTCTTGATGATCTCTCTAATATTGTCAGTAAGGTGTTAAAGTCTCCCACTATTATTGTGTGGAACCTCTTTGAAAGTCTCTAAGAACTTGCTTTATAAATCTCAGTAAGCCTGTCTCTATTGGGTACATGTATATTTTAGGATAGTTAGATATTCTTTTGGAGTTGAACCCTTTACCTTTATGTAATGCCCTTCTTCGCATTTTTTAAATCTTTGTTTGTTTAAACTCCGTTTCACCTGAAACTAGGATTGCAACCCACGCTTTTATTCTGTTTTACATTTGCTTGGTAGATTTTTCTCCATGCCTTTATTTTGAGCCTATGTGTGTCATCGCATGTGAGATGGACCTCTTGAAGACAACATACCAATGGGTTTTGGTTCTTTATCCAGCTTGCCACTCTGTGTCTTTCAATTGGGGCATTTAGCCCATTTACATTCAAGGTTAGTATTGATATGTGTGGATTTGATTCTGTCATCATGATGTTAACTGGTTATTTTGCAGACTTGTTTATGTGGCTTCGTTATATTGTCACTGGTCTGTGTACTTCAGCATGTTTTTGTAGTGCCTGGTAATGGTCTTTCCTTTCCATATTTAGGGCTTCTTTCAGGAGCTCTTGTAAGGCAGGTCTGATGGTAACAAATTGCCTCAATATTTGCTTGTCTGATAAGGATTTTATTTCCCCTTTGCTTATGAAGCTTAGTTTGGCCAGTCTGAAATTCTGGATTGGAATTTCTTTTCTTTAAATATGTTGAGTATTGGTCCGCAATCTCTTCTGGCTTGTAGAATTTCAGCTGATGGGTCCACTGTTAGTCAGATTAGCTTCCCTTTTTAGGTGACTTGACATTTCTCTAGCTGTCTGTAATATTTTTTCTTTGATTTCAACATTGGAAAATCTTATGACTATGTGCCTTGGGGATGATCTTCTTGTAAAATTTCTTACTGGGGGGTCTCTGCATTTCCTGAATTTCAATGTTGGCCTCTGTAGCTAGGCTGGGGAAGTTCTCATGGATGATATCCTGAAATATGTTTTCCAAGTTGGTTCCATTCTCCCCATCTCTTTCAGGGACACCAATGAGTCATAGATCTGATCTCTTTACATAGTCCCATATTTCTTGAAGGTTTCATTCATTCCTTTTCATCATTTTTTCTCTATTCTTGTCTGACTGTCTTATTTCAGAAAGCCAGTCTTCAAGCTCTGTGATTCTTTCCTCCACCTGGTCTATTCTGCTATTAATACTTGTGATTGCATTATGAAATTCTTGTAGTGTGTTTTCAGCTCTATTAGGTCAGTTACATTCTTTTATGTACTGGTTATTTTGTCTGTCAGCTCCTGAATTGTTTTATCATGAATTTTAGCTTCCTTGCATTGGGTTTCAATGTACTCCTGTAGCTCAATTATCTTCATTCCTATCCAAATTCTGAATTTTATTTCTGTCATTTCAGCCATCTCAGCCCAGTTGAGAATCCTTGCTGGAGAGGTGATGTGGTTGTTTGGAGGAAAGAAGGCATTCTGGCTTTTTGAGCTTTTAAGATTCTTTCACTGATTCTCATCTTTGTGGGCTTAACTACCTTCAATCTTTGAGATTTCTGACCTTTTTTTTTTTATCGTATTTGATGACCTTGAGGGTTTGATTGTGGCATAAGGTGAATTCAGCCATCTGGCTTTGTTTCTGTAAATGTTAGGGGGCCAGCAGTCAACTCCTGGACTGTGTGCTCTAACTCTGGGGACTAGTATTGGGCCCCGACTTTGTTGTCTGCCTCCTCCAGGTTAGAAATCCACTGTGCTGGGGTGGTAAGTGAGGTGTGGTAGCTGTGTTAGCCAGTGCCCAGGTGTCTGTTTTCCTGTAGGTGTTCACTACAGTGCCTGCTTACCTGTAGGCATTCACCATAGTGGTGGAGGCCACACAGCTGAGGGGCAGGTGGAGCAGGAGGCCCCTGCTGGCTACTGTGTGCATGGTCATGCTGGAGGTGGTATTGGCTCAGGGGTAGGGTGCTGGCAGGTGCTAGTCTGGTTACCTTCTCTGTTTCCCACAAGTAGGAGTGATCCCTCAGAATGGGCGAGGATCAGCTGTTCTCTGCTCAGTGTTAGCACAAAGGCCGGATGCCGATGGGGTCAGGGATGGCTAGCTCTGTGCCCACAAAGAGCTGGCATTGATGGGGGGGAGTGGGGGCATACTGAACTCCCATGTGCTGGTGGGGCAAGGAAAGCAAAACCTGCTGCAGACACAGGTTGGAGTTGCTGGGAGTTGCCGTGGGCCCGGGGAAGCTGCAGTACGGGGAGGGAGTATGTGGGCTGGTGCATGGCCATAGGGGTCACTTTGCTGGAACTCTCTGCTAGTCAGGCATGGTCCGCCAGTGCAGAAGCTAGGGTATAGGCCTCCAGGGCACGTGAGACTTCCCTGCAAGAAGGTGTTGCCAGGCTGGATTCCCTGGAGAGGCCAGCAGACCAAGGGGTGCTCAGACTGCCCCGCAGGGCTCAGGTCCGACAGTTCCCCTAGGGTTAACGTCTCCTATGGGAGCCAGTCAAGCCTAGGGGCATGGCCATCCCTGGCTATGCTCTGCTGTGGATACTCCCACACCAAGTCCTCTGGGCTCCACATCAGCTGGCTTGCTGCTTCTACCACTTCTCTAAGCAGATATCCTGGACAACTCGAGTGTCTGTGGTGGTTGAGGGGTCTCCTCCTGCTGGAGTTCCAAAGACCATGGTGAGAACAGGTTGCTTCTTGCCAGTTCAACTCATTCATTCCCCTGGAGCTGTTGGGGGCCAGGAAGGAGTCTGACGTGCCATAGACCCAGGCAGGGTTTCCAGCTTTCTCCCCTTCATCCCAACTTCTGTGTCTTCCGTCTGTCCACTCTTGGTACCTTCCCTCTGAACATCTGTTAGAAGCATGCCAGTCATCTTGGTCCCTCAACGGGAGCTGTTCTATGTGGCTGTGTCTATTCAGTCATGTTACTCTCCCCTGACTCATCTTAATCTAAGTGAACCATCTTAGGAAAAAACAGATTTTTCCCTATTTTTAAAATATTACCATTTGAAGCTGTTTGAATGCATTTAAAAAGATGTTGAAGTGTAATGCCTATTTCTATACATCAAGATAATATATAAAACAAGAAATTGATGTTTTTATGTAGACATATTTCTCTCTTTGAATAAGGTTTTCAATAAAATAAATACAATTTCATTTAAAAATCCAGTTTTTAAGACTTTCTCAGAGCTTAGAATAAAACATTGTGTTACCTTTAAAACTTTAATACAAGCAGGCATAGGTTTTCACAATGCAATTATAGATGTGTTAATCATTTATTTGATGGATCGTTTAAAAGATATTTTTGTGGAAATACAAATGTAAAAAAAGGTTCTTAATACTAACCAATTCCAGTGCCTTCCTCATATTTCTATTGTTGACTTCATCAAGTAGTCTTTGTGGTAGTCACGGAAGTGTGCCAGTCGGGTATTCCTTCATGAGAAAACCTGCACTAGGAGTGCACTTACTTGACAACCTCTAGGTGTGAGTCATTTCAGGATCTGTCTCAGCTTTAGATACCTGCCCTGCCACATTCTCCTTGGCAACTCCCAGTTGATGACTGAGCACAACGGAGGTATAAAGTTCACCATATCTGTCCATTGAACTCAACCAATAGTCTTCATGCTGAGCTCCACATTGGTCTGGCTGAAACTTTCCCAGAGCTGATGTCTTTCCTGCCCAATCCTCCTCCACTTCCCACCTCTTTCATAAGTGTCAGACCAGCATTGTCAGCCAAAGGTTGCACCTGCCAACGACAGCTCTCTTAATATAAATGATAAAGATAAATGCTTTCACAACCATTTCCCCTGAGATGTTCACACACACACACACACATACACAAACGTTTACAATGACATATACCATAATTCTAACTCTCTCTTGGTCTGGTTCCAAAAGGATCTTATTGATGCATGTATTAAGCATTTTCTATAGCAAGAAGCAGCGCTAGATTTAGTAGGATACAGTTTCTTATTGGAGCTCAGAACATGATACCCCATAGTATGGTGCTTTGACATGCTGAGTACTTTGAATTAAAATAGATTGGAAGGCCTCAGAAACAAGTTCTCTCTGTCCTTCTCCTGCCCTCCCTCTCTCACCCCTCTTTTTCCCCTGAAACAACTTGTAGACAGAACTCATCTTCCACAAGGTGGGTCATAGAAACTAGAGCTTCCCTCCCCCACAGAAACCACAATATCTAGAAATACTACCCCTAACCTTCCTTACCTATCTGTGTAGGAGCTGGCCATAAAGAAATTTTCTGATCTACTTTGCCTGATAGTGGGTCATAAGATCCTTGTTCCAGGAAGGTCCTGCCCCGTACCTGGGAGGTAGGAGTGTTGCACAAAGAAGCCAAGAAGAATCTGAACAGATAGGCCTTGCTGGGTGCCTCCCCACCACCCAGTCTGTTACCATCAGTTCATACTCTTTTTGTCCAATCGCATTTCTATACAGCTTTTCATTCTTCATCAAATCTAAGCATAAAAAAGAACAGTTTTCCCTGGGTCTTTGGGTCTTCATTTCTTAAGTCTCCTATGTTATGTAAAACTTTGATTAAATAAATTTGTTATGGTTTTCTCTCATTAACCTGTCTTTTGTTATAGGAGTGTTGATTGTGATGCTTATGATGGACAAGGAAAGGTATCATGTCCTGCCCCTACATCCTAATACCCCCAAATTTATAATTTTTCAGAAAAAATAAGATAAATATTAAAATAAGCATTATATAAGTTAAGTGAAGAACTATGAGGTATAAATAATGTACAATAATATATAAATATATAGTAATAATACAATAGTGATTAAAATTTTAATATTTTATCATAGATTTTGATTTTTTATAATATTACCTATCTTTACTGAGTTTTTTGGCATCCTCTTAAATTTTGTACCCAAGGCAATGTCTTAGTCCTTGCTCCCTTTACCCCCATCCCAGCCCTGTAAAGCACTAAATAAATATTACCCATAATTATTTGGAGTAAAGTAAAACAATCATAGCTCCTAAAATCAGAAAATAGTCCAATATGCTTTGCCTTATAAGGGCATTTAGAGTCTGTATTTTCTCAAACAACATTCAAACCCCTCTTGGTGGCCCACGCAATCCTACATAATCTAAGCTTATCCTTACCATCTCATCTCATCTCTCCCTACCCTGGCTCATGATGCTCAAGTATCTCTCACCTTCCTTCAGTTTCTTTAAATGCACAAGCCTTTTTTTTTCTGACTCAAGGTGTTTATATGTACTCTTCGTTCTCTCCTTCCCTCCTCCTCATCTTTCAGGTTTCAATTTAAATGTTCTCTCTTTAAGGAGAACTTGCTTCTTACTGCATTGTGTCTGGTACAAAACAGAACTCAACAAGTATTAAATTAAAAAATATTTCCAGCTAGATCATTCAACATGTGTTTTCTCTGCATTATGAGTTCCAAAGCAAACATATATTTATCTATGATGTGTGTACTCAAGGATTGAGATAAAGTTAAAAATAAAAAGAGGCAGGTGAGAACAGAGCAGAATAGACAAAAATGTATTGAGAGACCACAACTTTGAGTCTCACTTTAACATTATTTATTGGTGTGATTTATCTGAAAGCATTAATATATATAAAGATTTTGACCTTAAACATTTCTTCTTAATCTAAAATTTTATAGTTCACTTATTTTTCTCATTCATTCACTCACTCATTCATTTTGTAATTCAACCCATGTGCAGGCACTGTGCTCATCATGAGGGGTACCTGGCAGGATGAAGCCATCAGGTTGTTCTTTGTGGAATTTACATCCTAGTGCTTCTTTCCTTTCTGGCCATTAAAAGGAATAACAATAGGTGAATACATTTTGAAATAATTTCTGTTTTTTGTTTATCAGAATCTATCAACTGGATGTAAAAGACAAGAGCATTCTTAAACTTATACTTCTTATGAAAGATAGCCAGGGAGCATTGGCCCAGGGCAGACTGCCCACAGCACATCTTGCCCATTTTGATAATCTTCTGTGGCCCCTACATCCTGAGTCTAGTAGCTGTCCTGTTAGTCTTGAAGAGAAAGATAAACTATGAGATATTTCTCTTCCTTTTATGAATTCTAAATAAATGCAACCTGGGTGGATACATTGCTATCCAAAGGGCATACATTCTGTCACATCCACATATTCACATGTAATGCTTCTATACATTCATCCCAGTAACAAAGCAATTTTCTCATAAATTTGTCAAGAAAAGTGAATGATAAGAAGGTATACAACTCCAACCTGTCACACATCACAATTTCAAGGTAACTGTTCTAGAGAAATGGAAATAATGTTAAGCATCAAAATTTCAGGGTGGAAGACAAGTTAATTTAATTCCATGCCACTAAAGATAATGTTATTAAGCATCAAACAGTTTTGCTAGCTGACTTTTAACACACTTTTAAAGTTGAACTAACTCAATTGTATCAGAATTTGGGGAAAGTTTACGAAAAAGTTGAATCAAGGACAGACAAGCAGGTAGCAATATTCAAATACATGCAAAATACCAAGTGAAACAGGTAACTGAGATTGAATATAGAAATGAACTTAGAATCATAGAATTTTATTGCCAGAAGGGGCTTTAGAGATGATCTGATTCAATTTTTAGTGAAGCAGGCAAGAGATTTAAAAAACCACCTTTTCCATTAAGAAGATAATTCTACGCCACCCCCATACCCTGCCATCATCACCACAATTTGGATTAAAGAAAAAACGGAATACTTACTGTATAATTTTATGTGTCAGAAATAGAAAAAGATGACTGTAGTTTATTTAATACAGAAAATAGAAAATATAGTTGCTTATTTCTGCTATATTTTACTCTGCCTTTGTTAGAAAGATGCAAGAAATGTTTGACTGTGTGGGCATAAAGAAACATATTTCTACATTCAGAGGAAGAGTTAAAAATAATAATGTTGGAAGCAGCCAAGATGGCTGAATAAGAACAGCTCCGGTCTACAGCTCCCAGCATGAGCGACGCAGAAGATGGGTGATTTTTGCATTTCCATCTGAGGTACCGGGTTCATCTCACTAGGGAGTGCCAGACAGTGGGTGCAGGACAGTGGGTGCAGTGCACCGTGTGCAAACCGAAGAAGGGTGAGGCATTGCCTCACTCAGGAAGTACAATGGGTCAGGGAGTTCCCTTTCCTAGTCAAAGAAAGGGGTGACAGACGGCACCTGGAAAATCGGGTCACTCCCGCCCTAATACTGTGCTTTTCCGACGGGCTTAAAAATCGGCGCACCATGAGATTATATCCCGCACCTGGCTTGGAGGGTCCTATGCCCACAGAGTCTGGCTGATTGCTAGCACAGCAGTCTGAGATCAAACTGCAAGGTGGTAGTGAGGCTGGGGGAGGGGCACCCACCATTGCCCAGGCTTGCTTAGGTAAACAAAGCAGCTGGGAAGCTTGAACTGGGTGGAGCCCACCACAGCTCAAGGAGGCCTGCCTGCCTCTGTAGGCTCCACGTCTGGGGGCAGGGCACAGACAAACAAAAAGACAGCAGTAACCTCTGCAGACTTAAATGTGCCTGCCTGTCTGACAGCTTTGAAGAGAGCAGTGGTTCTCCCAGCACGCAGCTGGAGATCTGAGAACGGGCAGACTGCCTCCTCAAGTGGGTCCCTGACCCCTGATCCCTGAGCAGCCTAACTGGGAGGCACCCCCCAGTAGGGGCAGACTGACACCTCACACGCCCCGGTACTCCTCTGAGACAAAACTTACAGAGGAACGATCAGAAAGCAGCATTCGCGGTTCACGAAAATCTGCTGTTCTGCAGCCACTGCTGCTGTTACCCAGGAACAGGGTCTGGAGTGGACCTCTAGCAAACTCCAACAGACCTGCAGCTGAGGGTCCTGTCTGTTAGAAGGAAAAGTAACAAACAGAAAGGACATCCACACCAAAAACCCATCTGTACGTCACCATCATCAAAGACCAAAAGTAGATAAAACCACAAAGATGGGGAAGAAACAGAGCAGAAAAACTGGAAACTCTAAAAAGCAGAGCGCCTCTCCTCCTCCAAAGGAACGCAGTTCCTCACCAGCAACGGAACAAAGCTGGACGGAGAATGACTTTGACGAGTTGAGAGAAGAAGGCTTCAGACGATCAAACTACTCCGAGCTACAGGAGGAAATTCAAACCAAAGGCAAAGAAGATGAAAACTTTGAAAAAAATTTACACAAATGTATAACTAGAATAACCAATACAGAGAAGTGCTTAAAGGAGCTGATAGAGCTGAAAGCCAAGGCTCGAGAACTACGTGAAGAATGCAGAAACCTCAGGAGCCGATGTGATCAACTGGAAGAAAGGGTATCAGCGATGGAAGATGAAATGAATGAAATGAAGTGAGAAGGGAAGTTTAGAGAAAAAAGAATAAAAAGAAATGAACAAAGCCTCCAAGAAATATGGGACTATGTGAAAAGACCAAATCTACGTCTGATTGGTGTACCTGAAAGTGATGGGGAGAATGGAACCAAGTTGGAAAACACTCTGCAGGATATTATGCAGGAGAACTTCCCCAATTTAGCAAGGCAGGCCAACATTCAGATTCAGGAAATACAGAGAATGCCACAAAGATACTCCTCGAGAACAGCAACTCCAAGACACATAATTGTCAGATTCACCAAAGTTGAAATGAAGGAAAAAATGTTAAGGGCAGCCAGAGGGAAAGGTCAGGTTACCCACAAAGGGAAGCCCATCAGACTAACAGCGGATCTCTCGGCAGAAATTGTACGAGCCAGAAGAGAGTGGGGGCCAATACTCAACGTTCTTAAAGAAAAGAATTTTCAACCCAGAATTTCATATCCAGCCAAACTAAGCCTCATAAGTGAAGGAGAAATAAAATCCTTTACAGACAAGCAAATGCTGAGAGATTTTGTCACCACCAGGCCTGCCCTAAAAGAGCTCCTGAAGGAAGCACTAAACATGGAAAGGAAAAACAGGTACCAGCCACTGCAAAATCATGCCAAATTGTAAAGACCATCGAGGCTAGGAAGAAACTGCATCAACTAACGAGCAAAATAACCAGCTAACATCAAAATGACAGGATCAAATTCACACATAACAATATTAACTTTAAATGTAAATGGACTAAATGCTCCAATTAAAAGACACAGACTGGCTAATTGGATAAAGAGTCAAGACCCATCACTGTGCTGTATTCAGGAAACCCATCTCACGTGCATAGGCTCAAAATAAAAGGATGGAGGAAGAGCTACCAAGCAAATGGAAAACAAAAAAAGGCAGGGGTTGCAATCCTAGTCTCGGATAAAACAGACTTTAAACCAACAAAGATCAAAAGAGACAAGGCCATTACATAATGGTAAAGGGATCAATTCAACAAGAAGAGCTAACTATCCTAAATATATATGCACCCAATACAGGAGCACCCAGTTTCATAAAGCAAGTCCTGAGTGACCTACAAAGAGACTTAGACTCCCACACAATAATAACGGGAGACTTTAACACCCCACTGTCAGCATTAGACAGATCAACGAGACAGAAAGTCAACAAGGATACCCAGGAATTGAACTCAGCTCTGCACCAAGTGGACCTAATAGACATCTACAGAACTCTCCACCCCAAATCAACAGAATATATATTTTTTTGCAGCACCGCACCACATCTATTCCAAAATTGACTACATAGTTGGAACTAAAGCACTCCCCAGCAAATGTAAAAGAACAGAAATTATAACAAACTGTCTCTCAGACCACAGTGCAATCAAACTAGAACTCAGGATTAAGAAACTCACTCAAAACCGCTCAACTACATGGAAACTGAACAACCTGCTCCTGAATGACTACTGGGTACATAACGAAATGAAGGCAGAAATAAAGATGTTCTTTGAAACCAAGGAGAACAAAGACACAACATACCGGAATCTCTGGGACACATTCAAAGCAGTGTGTAGAGGGAAATTTATAGCACTAAATGCCCACAAGAGAAAGCAGGAAAGATCAAAGGTGACATCCTAACATCACAATTAAAAGAGGTAGAAGAGCAAGAGCAAACACATTCAAAAGCTAGCAGAAGGCAAGAAATAACTAAGATCAGAGCAGAACTGGAGGAAATAGAGACACAAAAAACCCTTCAAAAATTAATGAATCCAGGAGCTGGTTTTTTGAAAGGATCAACAAAATTGATAAACTGCTAGCAAGACTAATAAAGAAGAAAAGAGAGAAGAATCAAATAGACGCAATAAAAATTGATAAAGGGGATATCACCACCGATCCCACAGAAATACAAAGCTAGCATCAGAGAATACTACAAACTCCTCTAGGCAAATAAACTAGAAAACCTAGAAGAAATGGATAAACTCCTCGACACATACACCCTCCCAAGACTAAACCAGGAAGAAGTTGAATCTCTGAATAGACCAATAACAGGATCTGAAATTGCAGCAATAATCAATAGCTTACCAACCAAAAAGAGTCCAGGACCAGATGGATTCACAGCCGAATTCTACCAGAGGTACAAGGAGAAATTGGTACCATTCCTTCTGAAACTATTCCAATCAACAGAAAAAGAGGGAATCCTCCCTAACTCATTTTATGAGGCCAGCATCATCCTGATACCAAAGCCTGGCAGAGACACAACCAAAAAAGAGAATTTTAGACCAATATCCTTGAAGAACAATGATGCAAAAATCCTCAATAAAATACTGGCAAACCGAATCCAGCAGCACGTCAAAAAGCTTATCTACGATGATCAAGTGGTCTTCATCCCTGGGATGCAAGGCTGGTTCAATATATGCAAATCAATAAATGTAATCCAGCATATAAACAGAACCAAAGATAAAAACCACATGATTATCTCAATAGATGCAGAAAAGGCCTTTGACAAAATTCAACAACCCTTCATGCTAAAAACTCTCAATAAATTAGGTATTGATGGGACGTATCTCAAAATAATAAGAGCTATCTATGACAAACCCACAGCCAATATCATACGGAATGGGCAAAAAGTGGAAGCATTCCCTTTGAAAACTGGCACAAGACAGGGATGCCCTCTCTCACCACTCCTATTCAACATAGTGCTGGAAGTTCTGGCCAGGGCAATTAGGCAGGAGAAGGAAATAAAGGGTATTCAATTAGGAAAAGAGGAAGTCAAATTGTCCCTGTTTGCAGATGACATGATTGTATATCTAGAAAACCCCATCATCTCAGCCCAAAATCTCCTTAAGCTGATAAGCAACTTAAGCAAAGTCTCAGGATACAAAATCAATGTACAAAAATCACAAGCATTCTTATACACCAATAACAGACAAACAGAGAGCCAAATCATGAGTGAACTCCCATTCACAATTGCTTCAAAGAGAATAAAATGCCTAGGAATCCAACTTACAGGGGATGTGAAGGACCTCTTCAAGGAGAACTACAAACCACTGCTCAATGAAATAAAAGAGGATACAAACAAATGGAAGAACATTCCATGCTCATGGGTAGGAAGAATCAATATTGTGAAAATGGCCACACTGCCTGAGGTAATTTATAGATTCAATGCCATCCCCATCAAGCTACCAATGACTTTCTTCACAGAATTGGAAAAAACTACTTTAAAGTTCATATGGAACCAAAAAAGAGCCCGCATTGCCAAGTCAATCCTGAGCCAAAAGAGCGAAGCTGGAGGCATCACACTACCTGACTTCAAACTATACTACAAGGCTACAGTAACCAAAACAGCATGGCACTGGTACCAAAACAGAGCTATAGATCAATGGAACAGAACAGAGCCCTCAGGAATAATGCCACATATCTACAACTATCTCATCTTTGACAAACCTGAGAAAAATAAGCAATGGGGAAAGGATTCCCTATTTGATAAATGGTGCTGGGAAAACTGGCTAGCCATATGTAGAAAGCTGAAACTGGATCCCTTCCTTACACCTTATACAAAAATTAATTCAAGATGGATTAAAGACTTACATGTTAGACCTAAAACCATAAAAACCCTAGAAGAAAACCTAGGCATTACCATTGAGGACATAGGCATGGGCAAGGACTTCATGTCTGAAACACCAAAAGCAATGGCAACAAAAGCCAAAAGTGACAAATGGGATCTAATTAAACCAAAGAGCTTCTGCACAGCAAAAGAAACTACCATCAGAGTGAACAGGCAACCTACAGAATGGGAGAAGATTTTTGCAACCTACTCATCTGACAAAGGGCTAATATCCAGAATCTACAATGAACTCAAACAAATTGACAAGAAAAAAACAAACAACCCCATCAAAAAGTGGGCAAAGGACACGAGCAGACAGTTCTCAAAAGAAGACATTTATGCAGCCAAAAAACACATGAAAAAATGCTCACCATCACTGGCCATCAGAGAAATGCAAATCAAAACCACAATGAGATATCATCTCACACCAGTTAGGATGGCAATCATTAAAAAGTCAGGAAACAACAGGTGCTGGAGAGGATGTGGAGAAATAGGAACACTTTTACACTGTTGGTGGGACTGTAAAGTAGTTCAACCATTGTGGAAGTCAGTGTGGCGATTCCTCAGGGATCTAGAACTAGAAATACCATTTGACCCAGCCATCCCATTACTGGGTATATACCCAAAGGACTATAAATCATGCTGCTATAAAGACACATGCACACGTATGTTTATTGTGGCATTATTCACAATTGCAAAGACTTGGAACCAACCCAAATGTCCAACAATGATAGACTGGATTAAGAAAATGTGGCACATATGCACCATGGAATACTATACAGCCATAAAAAATTTTGAGTTCATGTCCTTTGTAGGGACATGGATGAAATTGGACATCATCATTCTCAGTAAACTATTGCAAGGACAGAAAACCAAACACTGCACGTTCTCACTCATAGGTGGGAATTGAACAATGAGAACACATGGACACAGGAAGGGGAATATCACACTCTGGGGCCTGTTGTGGGGTGGGGGGAGCGGGGAGGGATAGCATTAGGAAATATACCTAATGCTAAATGACGAGTTAATGGGTGCAGCACACCAGCATGGCACATGTATACATATGTAACTAACCTGCACATTGTGCACATGGACCCTAAAACTTAAAGTATAATAATAATATTAAAAAAATAATGTTTTGGCTCACAAAAGAAACAAAGAAGATGTCCATTTAGTAATATGTGACAAAAAGGAAACATAGTGTCTCTGAGAGGTGACCACTGAAACATTTAGTATGTTTCCTTTCACTGTTTTTCCCCTATATATCTATTTTATATAGTTCAACTCATACTACTTTAATTCTGCTTAGTATTAAGTTGGTAGAGGGCAGGGTATGTGTGGGGTGACAGTCTATGAGAATAGACCATAGGCCACATAGCATGTCTAACAGGACAGATGATTTAGGGTGGGGTCAGACCACAGAGAACTTCAAACACCACACTGTTGGGGAAACATTGTGAGGTATCCTGAGGTATCCCTTAACTTGAGAAGATTGCAACATCTGTTCTGCCCCTGCTTTCTGCCTGCTGACTTGGAGGCAAGGACTCTCTAGGGTCACCTATGCAGCAATTACTTATTAAGCCATAAGCTTGTAATATTATTTGTCTGCAGGGCTTGTTATGAAATAGTTCATTCATTTACCCTGGCACGATGGAACTGAAGATAACTCAAATAATGTTCTAGAGCAGAACTTCTATTTCTTCCAAACTACATAAACTCTGCACTTCCTTTCCTAGGACAAATACAATATGAGAGGGTATAGTGCTGGCGTTGTTGCAGGCCCACTCAGTAGCCCAATAAAACGTGCCCTAATTTTCAGCTAATTTTGTTTCTTTTGCAATGTTCTTCAATGGAGCATTTTAAGGTTTTTCCCTCTTATAATCTGGCATAAAATAATTACCTAATAAATGGTTCTACCAAAAGCAGAGATACGTAAATGATTAATGAAACTAGAATTTTAATGTTTTGATTTTGAAAATAATCAGATTGAAAATTCTAACTGGTTATAATTATAAAGCAATATCATATGCACCATGTTCTTTACAAATGTCAGTTGTTACATTAAAGTTGTATCTAGGAGATATATTTTGAATATAGATGTATGGTTTCATTTAAGGTTGTTATGGCTTGAGCATTTATTTTATTTTATTTTTGTTTGTTTTTAGACAGGGTCTCGCTCTGTCACCCAGGCTACAGTGCAGTGGCAGGATCTTGGCTCACCACAACCTCCACCTCCCAGGCTCAAGTGACTTTCCCACCTCAGCCTCCCAAGTAGCTGGGACCATAGGAAAGTGGCACCATGCCCGGCTAATTTGTTGTATTTTTGGTACAGCCGGAGTTTCACCGTGTTGCCCAGGCTACTTAATCTCCTGAGCTTAAAAAATCCATCTGCTTTGGCCTCCCAAAGTGCTAGGATTACAGGTGTGAGCCACTGTGCTGGGCCAGCTTGAGCATTTCTTACACTTCTAAATATATTTGGGTCAAGAGACAAACCATATTTATTATATTTGTGTAATTACTTTTCAGGAAAAGCCTGCAAGCTCTATCCTGATTACCTTCATCAATATGCAGGAAAAACAGATAGGTGCTCATAGGAGCACTTTTAAGTGAGCAATAGGAGGAAGCTACTTACTGAGATGGAGAGGCTTAAATGAATGTAATGCATGCACAGAAGCTACAGTTACTTAAAGAATAACATTTTTTGATGGTCCGAGGATACATAACATGTAATTTTTACTGACAGTTCAAGTACTTGAGACTTTAAACATCCACCTACTTTGCTGCATAATCAACTCAGTTTCATTCTTAAGCTGCAGCGTAGTTTATTATTAATATATTTCATATATATATATATATCTGCAGCAGAATGGCTTTTAATTTGTTTTTCCTAGTACAGATATATTCCTTCAGTGTTTTTTTGTAATATTCTCAAATTGGCAACCAACCAGTCAATATAAAAAAACCATTACTTGAGCTGTGTTTACTCCAGGGGGTCTGAATTGCTCTAAATCCTTTCTCTAGGGTGTCTTTGAAATCATCTTGCTATAAAATAGCTTTGATTTGATTCAAAAAATAATTCTAGTGCCAGAAACTATTAATTGCCAGGAACCTACCCATGAAAGCTCTAAGACTTTCACAGGTATTAGAACCAACTGCAGGATAAGAGCAAGATCGACATTTAATAGTAAAATTTCACAACTATTAGTTTTACCTAGTAGTCCTTTTAGGGAGCCATTTATCATTTCATTTTTTAATCCTGGTAAATAGAGGCAGGCTACACTCAAGAGACAGATAAAAGTGTCAGGAAGTCCAAATCCAATTGAGAAACTATGTTCAAGTCCACATGTTGCATTAAACTTAATTGCCAATACTTATCAATGAGAAAAATTATGTTGCAAGTTAGTTTTGATCATTGTAGGTTGAATCTGCAAGATCTGAGAAATTATCCTTTTTTATTTTTGTTTGATGCATCACATAATTAGGTTTAATTAAAAGGTCATCATGATTTTAAAGAATTTTGATTACAGGTATTCTACTCTTTGAAAGAACAGACAGTGGATTTAGGAAAAATGAGTGGAAGTTATATAAAGTTGGATTTTTGTCTCAATGTAGAGAAGTATCTTCTAACAATTACAGCTGTTAAAAAAAGGAATAGACTGACTTGTAAGATAGTAAATTTCCTGAGTTTGGAAATGCCAATCAATGGCTGAGAGATGCTGTAGGTGGAACTCCTACTTTGGAAAATCAAGCTAAATGGCTTCATGCACCCAGTGTTCCAGAAAGGCTAAGAAATATGCATAACCTTAAAAAAATTGGTTATGTACTCTGCCTCAAATGCCCTTTTTTCTTGAACTTCTACTCTTCCATTAAGACCCAGTTTAATTGCACCCTTTCTTTTTCAACAGTGTTTTTCCTTTTGTATTTTTACAGAATTTTGATGGATACATATTAAATCGTTATTTTAAGAAATTATATACTTGTTCTGTCTCTCCTGCTAGACTTTGGAGCTCTCGAAAGCAGTGCCGGCATTCTATGCGTGTTTGTATTTCTAACATTTAGCACAATGCTAGACATATCATTTGTACTTAATGGCTACCAACACAAAGCCACTGCAAATATGGTGCTAGGGCTACACATATTCTACAATATTTTATATACATTTTCTTGAGGTAGGTATTATTTGCATTTCATTGAGGACAAAACCGAAGCTCAAATTTTGCCAAAATTACCACTCTAAATAAGTGGCAGGAGCCCTGGAATCTGAATTTAGGCAGAAATAGTAGCTGAATTGCAATACCATTCATTATTTTCACTTCACAGGCTAGTTTCTTTAAGCTACTCTCTGATTTAAGATACTGTGAGTCTCACTTTAGGTTTTGATATAGTTAAGTATTTGTCCCCTCCAAATCTCATGTTGAAATGTGATTCCCAATGTTGGAGATAAGGCTTGGTGTTAGGTGTTTGGGTCATGGTGGTGGATCCCTCATGAATGGCTTGGTGCTCTCCCCGTGATAATGAGTGAATTGTCTCTGTGTGAGTCTACACAAGAGCTAGTTGTTTTAAAGAGTCTGGCACCTCATTCCCTTCTCTCTCTTGTCCCCTCTCACCATGAGATATGCTGGCTTCCTTGTTGCCTTCTGCCATGATTGTAAGCTTCCTGAGGCCTCACCAGAAGCCAAGCAGATGCTGGTGCCATGCCTGTACACCCTGTAGAACTGTGAGCCAAATAAACCTCTTTTATTTGTATATTACCCGGCCTCAGGTATTCCTTTATGGCAATGCAAATGGATTAATATAGATTTCAACTAATAAAAACTTCCAGAAACCTCATAAATCTTCTGGGGAGATCAAGTGAAACTTGTCTGGAACAATTTGACTTTTGTATTTAATAAATGACTTACACACTGAGGACAATAATCTATTCCCTTCGATGAAGAAACTCTAATAATTCCCCTTAAAAAAGTAAACTTACTTTACATAAGAGGTGATTAGAATGCCTTTAAAAACAGTAATGTGCTCTTTTTGTATACAAGTTGAATGTTTCCTTGGAATTAGTAGAGCCTTTTAAACTTCAAATTAAATTAAGTGATTCAGGAAAGAGCTATGGTTTTATTGTAACTTTTGGAGAAGACTTGTGTAAAACTTTATACATTGGCCTAGGGAGGAAAGAAGACATGCAAAGGAGGACCTCATACACCTGTTATTCTCAGAAGATACTGGATGGCATAATGGCTTGAGAGTCAAAATGATTCTATCCTCAGCAATACAAATGTAGATCACTTTAGAAGGCCAGATTGTCCAGTTTTGATATTGCTCTTTTGGGATGGCAGGAGAATTGAAAAGTCTTGAATGTCATACATGGTGTTTTGAAATTTATGGTTTAATATTTACAGGATTCTCATATATCCCTATTTCTTCTTTCTGTTTATCAGCATAAACATGTAATTGCTTCAATCAATATTATTTTGGATAATGTAATTATCTTAATTTTCTCTTTGCACTCAAAGAATGCATATTCTAAACATATTTCTCTCGTGAAGTACTATTTTCATGCACTTACTTAGTAGTTGTATTTAATGAAGTTTCTATTAATTCATTCTTGGCATGGTTTACTTCCTGACTGCCTGGAAATTGCTATTACTAAAGTTTTAGGTAAATGTTCTCTGAATGCATCTAATGTAAATTGAATATTAACAACTGATACTTTTGGCTTATATTAATTCTTTTTAATTGCCATCAGAATTGAACTGGAATGTAGACGTTAGCTCATTCTAAGCCCAGTTTTGGGGGGCTTGGAAGAAAAATTCCATGTATCACATTTTAAATGTTTCTAGTTTTCCATGCAAAACTTTAAAATGCATGTTAAATAACTTTGCTAATTATTGTGAAAAACATGTCAGTTAACCAAACTATTAAATTTCAATTATAAATGAAGTAATCCTATCTCTGCCTCTATCAGTCATCTATCTTTCCACCTATTATCTAGTGCTTTTATAAAATGACTACAAAAATGGTGCTGTATAATGCTGAAGCTAGGTCACACCTGGTGATGCAACTTCCAACAAGTTCACTGAAATAGTTGCATTTAGAGCCTTGGGCTGCCATATAAGAAGTCCAACTCCTCTAAGGTTCTAGGGAAGTCAAGACACGTGGAGTAGCCATGTGGAAATAATCCTGTCCACAGCTCCAGTTGGGCTCCCAACCAATAGCCAAGGTCTGCTTTCAGCCATATGAGTAACCCATCTTGGTCACTGACATCCAGTTGAGCCTTTGGACGATTTCAACCCCAACCAAAACTGGACTGTAATGACACAACAGAACCTGTACAAGAAACTTCCAAATGAGTCATTCTTAAATTTTTGACCCACAGAATCTATGAGCATAATAAAATAGGTATTGATACAAGGCACTGAGTTTGGGGTAGTTTGTTAGCAGTCGTTGTAATCAAACCAGTCTACATTTAACAAAGCAGAAACTAGAGAGGGAAAGCGCCAGATTTAGTACGCAGTGAAAGAAGGAAACTAACTTGATGAATATCAATACAGGCAATGATCAATTAATAAATGTGTATTTCAACATATATTTCTTAGAACATCTTTTTGAGTAGTCCTGTGCTAGACTGCACATGACCTAATGCACCTAATAGTACTGAGTAATTACTAACAAATAATTACATTACAATCTACGATTCATTACTATGGGATTTCAGAGAAAGTTGGCATAAGTTGAGGTTATTGGTGAAGTATCATTTAGGAAACAAAATTGAACAAAATTTTGAAAGATAGAATGTAGATAACTAGACAGGAGAAAGGGAGAACATTCCAGGTGGAAGACATTATGAATAAGCATGTGGAGGGCTTTAAGCATTCCCGGCTTGATAGCAGTAAGGAATTCTCTGGCCGAAGTAGACCGTTAGATTCAGTGGGGAGTGACTGCGGATTATAGAGTAGAAGAGAAGCTTGATGGTGATATTTTAGGGAGTTTTGGCTGTATGCAGAGGAAATTTGAAGTAAGATCCAGTCTTTTGGCACTTGTCTACCAATCTGAAACTTTGTCCTCTTTACACTTTTGCTTTCAACGAGTCCTAATCTGTATCTTCTATAAGCTTGGTTTAGACTTGCCTATTCTTTTTTCTTCAAAAGGTTTTGTTTGAGTTGTACCACCTTCAAACGCCTGAAAAAAAAATGTTCTATTGCTACTGTTGCTAGCTAGCTGATATAGTCAGGGTTGTCCAGAGAAACACAACCAATAAGATGTGTGTGTGTGTGCATATGTTAGAGAGAGATGTATTTTAAGCAATTTGCTGGAAAACACAAAATCTGCAAGATGGACCAGCAGGCTGGAGACTCAGGGAATCGCTGTTGCTGCAGTTCAAGTCCAAAGGCCGTCTGCTGGCAGAATTCCCTCTTGATTGAGTTGACCTTTTCTTCTCCTCTGAAAGGAAATGCTGCCTTTGGAAGAGAAAGTGGCAAAGTCATGTGAATCCAGGTTGCACATATCTTCCTGATCATGCCATGTTTTCATGCTGTCACCAAACACTAAATTTGCAGGCACCTAGATCTTGGACTTCCTAGTCTCCAGAACTGTGATAAATAAATTCCTGTTGTTTAGAAGCACTCTCATCTATGGTATTTTGTTAAGAGCAGCCAGAATGGACTAAGACAGATGATATGTTTGGCTCCGTGTCCCCACCCAAATCTCATGTGGAATTTTAATCCCCTCATGTCAGGGGAGGGACCTGGTGGGAGGTGATTGGATAACGGCGGTGGATTTCTCCCATGCTGATCTTGCGATAGTGAGTGAGTTCTCATGAGATCTCATGGTTTAAAAGTGTGGCACTTCCCCCCTTGTTCTCTCCTGCCACTGTGTCCAGAATTGGTTCCTTCTGGTGGGTTCTTGGTCTTGCTGACTTCAAGAATGAAGCTGCAGACCCTCGCGGTGAGTGTTACAGTTCTTAAAGATAGTGTGTCCAGAGTTTGTTCCTTCTAATGTTCAGATGTGTCTGGAGTTTCTTCCTTCTGGTGGGTTTGCAGTCTCGCTGACTTCAGGAGTGAAGCCGCAGACCTTTTCAGTGAGTGTTACAGCTCTTAAAGGTGGCACGTCCGGAGTTGTTCATTTCTCCCGGTGGGTTCGTGGTCTCGCTGACTTCAGGGGCGAAGCTGCAGACCTTTGCGGTGAGTGTTACAACTCTTAAAGGTGGCATGTCCAGAGTTGTTCATTCTTCCTAGTGGGTTTGCGGTCTTGCTGACTTCAGGGGTGAAGCTGCAGACCTTCGCGGTGAGTGTTATAGCTCTTAAAGGTGGCACGCCTGGAGTTGTTCATTCCTCCCGGTGGGTTTGCAGTCTCACTAGCTTCAGGAGTGAAGCTGCAGACCTTCACGGTGAATGTTACAGCTCATAAAGGCGGCACAGACCCAAAGAATGAGCAGCAGCAAGATTTATTGCAAACAGCAAAAGAACAAAGCTTCCACAGCATGGAAGGGGACCAAGTGGGTTGCTGCTACTAGCTCAGATGGCCTGCTTTTATTCCCTTATTTGGCACTGCCCACATCTTGCTGATTGGTCCATTTTACAGAGAGCAGATTGGTCCATTTTACAGAGTGCTGATTGGTTCATTTTGACAGAGTGCTGATTGGTGCATTTACAAAGCTTTAGCTAGACACAGAGCGCTGATTGGTGCAATTACAATCCTTTAGCTAGACAGAAAAGTTCTCCAAATCCCCACCCAATTATCCAGACACAGAGTGCTGATTGGTGCATTTACAAACCTTTAGCTAGACACAGAGTGCTGATTGGTGCATTTACAATCCCTTAGCTAGACAGAAAAGTTCTCCAAGTCCCCACCTGACCCAGAAGCCCAGCCAGCTTCACCTGTCAACACCATATAAGACATGCTTTGCTTCCCCTTTGCCTTCTGCCATGTTTGTAAGTTTCCTGAATCTTCCCCAGCCTTGTGGAACTGTGAGTCAGTTAAACCTCTTCTTTATAAATTACTCAGTCTTGGGTAGTTCTTTATGGCATTGCGAAAACAGACTAATACAACAGGAAACAAGAGGACCTCTGTTTCAGCCTTATTTGCTGCTCATTCTGTCTATTCATAGGCAATTCTTTACAGTTTTTACTTATTTGTTCTGATATTTATTTTCTTATTTCTAAAATGCTCATGCTACCATTTCTTGACTTTTTAGTTTTAGACATTACTTGTTGACTTTGAAGTAAGAAATGTAAGAATTTAGGCCCTCTTCACCTCTTATCATTGCATAATTGTAAAACATGATTAGATTTTACATTATTAAGACTAAATATTAATCTGAGCTACACCACATAATGAAGTGACATGATATGATTACCTTTCCATTTTTGAACAGTTTATATTGTTATGCCCTGTTTTGGGAATTAATATTGATGATTTTTGGCATTCATTTAATTAACCGTGTACTTGCCACTATCATACATCCTTAATTTCTCTACCAGAAGTGTGTACCTGATGTTAAAACCCTCAGATAATGTTTAATTTAAAATATCCATAATCTGCTAATCTGTGATCAACTCCAATCTGTACTAGTTGTTTTCTAAAACTGCAATTCTCCTGACATCATGGTGCCTTACATCTCTGTCATCCTAGAAGTTCCTCTGCATATTGCATTTTCTCTTTTCTGGTACACTGGAGGTAAAATTTTTGAGATCTTGCATGCTAAAGATGTCTTAATTCTATCCTCAGACATAACTGATAGTTGGGTTAGATTCAGAAGTCTAGTTTGGATATCATTTTACTAAGAATTTTTGAAGGCATTGCTGCATTTTATCCAATATGTATTTTTCTCTTGTGTGGTACCGTATTGATTTTCATTCCATCATGAGTGATTTTTGTTTGTTTGTTTATTTTTTCCTTCTCTGGAAACTTTTAAGATGTTATATTTGTTCCCAGTGTTTCACAAAGTGAAATTTCACATTGAAGTGGCTTTATATTGGAGGAAATAAAAATATTTTACCCCAAAACATATTTCTTTTTTTATTATTATTATACTTTAAGTTTTAGGGTACGTGTGCACAATGTGCAGGTTAGTTACATATGTATACATGTGCCATGCTGGTGCGCTGCACCCACTAACTCGACATCTAGCATTAGGTATATCTCCCAATGCTATCCCTACCCCCTCCCCCCACCCCACAACAGGCCCGAGTGTGATGTTCCCCTTCCTGTGTCCATGTGTTCTCATTGTTCAATTCCCACCTATGAGTGAGAATATGCGGTGTTTGGTTTTTTGTTCTTGCGATAGTTTACTGAGAATGATGATTTCCAATTTCATCCATGTCCCTACAAAGGACATGAACTCATCATTTTTTATGGCTGCATAGTATTCCATGGTATATATGTGCCACATTTTCTTAATCCAGTCTATCATTATTGGACATTTGGGTTGGTTCCAAGTCTTTGCTATTGTGAATAATGCTGCAATAAACATGCGTGTGCATGTGTCTTTATAGCAGCATGATTTATACTCCTTTGGGTATATGCCCAGTAATGGGATGGCTGGGTCAAATGGTATTTCTAGTTCTAGATCCCTGAGGAATTGCCACACTGACTTCCACAATGGTTGAACTAGTTTACAGTCCCACCAACACTGTAAAAGGGTTCTTATTTCTCCACATCCTCTCCAGCACCTGTTGTTTCCTGACTTTTTAATGATTGCCATTCTAACTGGTGTGAGATGGTATCTCAATGTGGTTTTGATTTGCATTTCTCTGATGGCCAGTGATGGTGAGCATTTTTTCATGTGTTTTTTGGCTGCATAAATGTCTTCTTTTGAGAAGTGTCTGTTCATGCCCTTCACCCACTTTTTGATGGGGTTGTTTGTTTTTTTCTTGTCAATTTGTTTGAGTTCATTGTAGATTCTGGATATTAGCCCTTTGTCAGATGAGTAGGTTGCGAAAATTTTCTCCCATTTTGTAGGTTGCCTGTTCACTCTGATGGTAGTTTCTTTTGCTGTGCAGAAGCTCTTTAGTATAATTAGATCCCATTTGTCAATTTTGGCTTTTGTTGCCATTGCTTTTGGTGTTTCAGACATGAAGTCCTTGCCCATGGCTATGTCCTGAATGGTAAAGCCTAGGTTTTCTTCTAGGGTTTTTATGGTTTTAGGTCTAACGTTTAAGTCTTTAATCCATCTTGAATTGATTTTTGTATAAGTTGTAAGGAAGGGATCCAGTTTCCGCTTTCTACATATGGCTAGCCAGTTTTCCCAGCACCATTTATTAAACAGGGAATCCTTTCCCCATTGCTTGTTTTTCTCAGGTTTGTCAAAGATCAGATAGTTGTAGATATGTGACGTTATTCCTGAGGGCTCTGTTCTGTTCCATTGATCTATATCTCTGTTTTGGTACCAATACCATGCTGTTTTGGTTACTGTAGCCTTGTAGTATAGTTTGAAGTCAGGTAGTATGATGCCTCCAGCTTTGTTCTTTTGACTTAGGATTGATGCAATAAAAAATGATACAGGGGATATCACCACCAATCCCACAGAAATACAAACTACCAGAAGAGAATACTACAAACTCCTCTACACAAATAAACTAGAAAATCTAGAAGAAATGGATAAATTCCTCAACACGTACACTCTCCCAAGACTAAACCAGGAGGAAGTTGAATCTCCGAATAGACCAATAACAGGATCTGAAATTGTGGCAATAATTAATAGCTTACCAACAAAAAGAGTCCAGGACCAGATGGATTCACAGCCGAATTCTACCAGAGGTACAAGGAGGAAGTGGTACCATTCCTTCTGAAACTATTCCAATCAATAGAAAAAGAGGGAATTCTCCCTAACTCATTTTATGAGGCCAGCATCATCCTGATACCAAAGCCGGGCAGAGTCACAACCAAAAAAGAGAATTTTAGACCAATATCCTTGATGAACATTGATGCAAAAATCCTCAATAAAATACTGGCAAACCGAATCCAGCAGCACATCAAAAAGCTTATCCACCATGATCAAGTGGGCTTCATCCCTGGGATGCAAGGCTGGTTCAATATATGCAAATCAATAAATGTAATCCAGCATATAAACAGAACCAAAGACAAAAACCACATGATTATCTCAATAGATGCAGAAAAGGCCTTTGACAAAATTCGACAACGCTTCATGCTAAAAACTCTCAATAAATTAGGTATTGATGGGACGTATTTCAAGATAATAAAAGCTATCTGTGACAAACCCACAGCCAATATCATTCCCTTTGAAAACTGGCACAAGACAGGGATGCCCTCTCTCACCACTCCTATTCAACATAGTGTTGGAAGTTCTGGCCAGGGCAATTAGGCAGGAGAAGGAAATAAAGGGTATTCAATTAGGAAAAAAGGAAGTCAAATTGTCCCTGTTTGCAGGCGACATGATTGTATATCTAGAAAACCCCATCGTCTCAGCCCAAAATCTCCTTAAGCTGATAAGCAACTTCAGTAAAGTCTCAGGATACAAAATCAATGTACAAAAATCACAAGCATTCTTATACACCAACAACAGACAAACGGAGAGCCAAATCATGAGTGAACTCCCATTCACAATTGCTTCAAAGAGAATAAAATACCTAGGAATCCAACTTACAAGGGATGTGAAGGACCTCTTCAAGGAGAACTACAAACCACTGCTCAATGAAATAAAAGAGGACACAAACAAATGGAAGAACATTCCATGTTCATGGGTAGGAAGAATCAATATCGTGAAAATGGTCATACTGCCCAAGGTAATTTACAGATTCAATGCCATCCCCATCAAGCTACCAATGCCTTTCTTCACAGAATTGGAAAAAACTACTTTAAAGTTCATATGGAACCAAAAAAGAGCCCACATCACCAAAACATACTTCTTTACATATTTTGAGATGGCTGTTCAGAAAGCCAGCAAACCAAAGTAATTCTGCAAAGCTGTCTTGTGTCTCAGAGGATTGAATCTGCAGAGCATCTGCATCTATGCAGCCAGGCCTGCCTTGTCCAGATCTAGAAAAGGTTAACTGAGAGTCTGGCACTTTTAAGGTCTGAAAGAAACATTTACCATCTGTTCTCTGTCAGGGCTACTGCCTGTGGGGTTTAATTTATGTAACAAGACTGCCTTTTGCTAGCCAAGTCTCGTCTCCTTCTCATAACCTGTCTCACCACTTAAACATGATTTACCACCATAACCCGTTTTTGGCCATGCTCTGAGCGTGCAGTGTGCAACCTTTGTATAACCTCGAGATGGTATATAAGCTTATACTATAAGGTTATATTCTATAACCTCAAGATGCTATATAAACTTCTGTACCCCACTCTGTGGTTTTCCCCTATCTGCACATTGACACATCTGAATGCATTTTCTCCAGTCAATCTTTTGTGAGGTGATTTTTCAGCAAACCTTCAGAGGGTGAAGGAAAGTTTTTCCGTGGCCTCTATAATGTGAATCTTTTAAGTTAATTTTGCAAGGTATTTGGACAATGTGGGGACTTTCAATACATGTTTTGAATAATTTCCGTGAAACAATTATTGTAAAACTTCATCGTAATGCATCCAGTCTCTTTTTCTTGACCCCTCATTATGTGATGTGTGTCAGATCTCATGACAGATTCTCTAACTTTTTCATTTGTCTTTCCTATTTTTCAAATTTTGGTATTTGTTCTATTTTCTGGAAGATTTCTTCAATGTTATCTTTTAATTCTTCTATGAATTTTCCAATATGTTTGTCATTTTTTTTTTTTGAGATAGAGTTTCCCTCTTGTTGCCCAGGCTAGAGTGCAGTGGCATGATCTCAGCTCACCGCAACCTCTGCCTCCAAGGTTCAGGCGATTCTCCTGCCTCAGCCTCCCAAGTATCTGGGGTTACAGGCATGTGCCACCATGCCTGGCTAATTTTGTAATTTTAGTAGAGACGAGGTTTCTCCATGTTGGTCAGGCTGGTCTTGAACTCCTGACCTCAGGTGATCTGCCCGCCTTGACCTCCCAAAGTGCTGGGATTACAGGCATGAGCCACCGTGCCTGGCAATATTTTTAAAGTCTAAGAATCCTGAGGGGTTTATTTCTATTTTTGTTTTTATTTCATGGATGAAATGCCTTCATTTATTTCTTAGAAAACTTTTTTTTCAAATTTTCTTCTGTGTTCAGCATTGTTTCTATTTCTCTCATATTCTTTTTTCCCCTTAAAGTATGTGTTTTGTTTTATCTCTATTTTTCATGTAAGAGGCTTTTCTCACATTTCTAGTAGTCTTACAGTCATTTTAGATTTTCTTTTATATTTAAGAGACATCAAAAACAGCATTGGAAACTCTGTATGTGTGAGAGGAGTTTGTCCAAGGTGACCTTCATTATAGGGAAATCGGGTGAGGGCCTGGACAAGTCGTTGAGGACATCCAGTGACAGTCTCTCTAGGTCTTTCTTCCTGGGGATGTAACTCACTCTAGATGATTGCTTGAATCTTTTTGCAGTATATGTGCTTGGTTGGCACCTGGGTGTTTAGTAAAGGGACAGGAGATTGGGGGTCTTACACATGTAGCCATCACACTCAAGACTGAGGGTATTCAGTGAGATGCTGTATTCATAAATTATTTGGATAAGTCCCACCCCATCCACCATAACCAGGCCACGTCAATGTGGTTATAGTATTCATCTGAAACACAATTGGTGTAGAAAATCTAGTCACTTTAAATTGTAAACAGTCTCAATTCAGTAATTAAAAATGCAAATCCCCAGGCACTTGTAATAATTCAGGCTTCCAATCTTATTCAAAGGTAAAATTTCTCACTCTCTACCCAATCTGGAATCTCTTACAGGCTGGCATCTTCTGGTGGGAGAAGAAGGTACAGTCATCTCCTTTTTTTCTCAGGTAACTCCACTCCTACTTACTAGCTGCAATTACAGACTCTTCAAAACTCCCGAAGAAATAGAGGCAAGAGGAACAGGATAAGTTGTAGCTGACAAGAACTATTGTAAGATGGCTTTGTGCTCCTTGAGACTTGTTGTATTTAAAATGGACTTTTATCAGACATTTGCATATCACTGAGTTCTTCCACCAATTACTGGAGTTCTTTTATTTGCAGTTACTTTTATAAGGCCAATCATTCTCTTCTAGCAGTCATTCACTCCCTTATCCTTCAGAAGACTTTTCCAATGGTGAGGCCAGATTTTGCCTCTGCTTTTACTGGTGCTTTTGATTGTGCCATTTGAAGAGGCTGTAAGAGAGCACCTAACACAGGTCTCATGCCTTTTCTCTAGTGCAAGGTTCACAGCTGGCTCAAAAACAAAACATTGTTTACCTAAATTCTGGGAGTGCAGGCCAGTTCCCAAATAGCAGCAATTTTGTTTCATTCCTTTGCTAAAGCAAGGAGTCATGTACTTAATGACTTAATGACAGGGATGCATTTGGAGAAATGTGTCCTTAGGTGATTTCTTTGTTGTGCGAACATTGTAGAGTGTACTTACAGAAAGCTGGATAAGATAGCCTACTACACACCTAGGCTATATGGGATAGGATTTTGCTCCTGTACTATACTGAATACTATAGGCAAATGTATTACACAATGGCAAATATTTGTGTATCTAATCAAATATTTGTGAGTGAGTGATGAGTGGATGTGAAGCTGTAGGACATTAATGTATTCTGCTATGGACTTTAAAAACATTGTACATGTAGTCTACACTAAATTAAAAAACATTTTTTCTTCAATAATACGTTAACCTTAGCTTACTGTAACTTTTTTACTTCATAAACTTTATTAAAAAATTTTTTTGACTCTCGTAGTAACGCTTAGCTTAAAACACATTGTATAGCTGTACAAACATATTTTCTTTCTTTATAGCCTCGTTCTTAAGCTTTTCTTTCAATTTAAAACATTTTTTACTTTTTACTTTTTAAACTTTTTTGTTAAAAACTAAGACAAAGACATACACATTAGTTAGGCCAACACAGGGTCAGGATCAAGAATATCCCTGTCTTCCACCTCCACAGCTCCTCCCACTGGAAGGTCTTCAGGGGCAACAACACACACGGAGCTGTCATCTCCTCTGACAACATGATCACAATGCTTTGTATGTCACTGATGGACCTGCCTGAGGCTGTTTACTGTTAACTTCTTTTTAATAAGTGGGAGGTATACACTCTAAATATCAATAAACAGTATCATATAGTAAATACGTACACTAGTACCACAGTCATTCATTTTCATGATCAAGTATTATGTACTGTACATGAGTGTGTGTGCTATACTTTTATATGACTGGCATCACAGTAGTTTCCTACAGCAGCATCACCACAAACACATGAGTAATGTGTTGTCCTACAATGTTATGACAGCTATGATGTTATTCCCAGACCAAACTGAGGGTTGGATGCTATTTCTCATGGCCCAATAATGAGATGCAGATGAACTTGGGAGGAAGAGAGTTTTTATTTCTGTAACCGGTTACAGGGAGAAGGCCTGGAAATTATCACCAGACCAACTCCAAATTACAAAGTTTTCCAGAGCTTATATACCTTCTAAGCTATATGTCTATGTTTAAGTGTGCATTCATCTAAAGATATAAGTGATTAACTTCTTTTAATCTATAACTAAGGCCTGAGTCTTGAAGACCTTCCTCTGGAGCCTCTGTACATTTACTTAATCTAAGTGGGTCCAGGTGCTGGGGTGATTACACTTATCTTGTTTCCTGCTAAATCACAGAGTTTTGGGGAGTTCCTTCAGACTCCCAATAAACTTGTTTGTGCGGGCCTGGGGAGTTTCTTCAGATCCCCAATAAAACTTGTTTAATCATGCTTTGAGGTTCAGGAAAGGCCTAGGCAAAACTATTGGTGGGCTTTTGTTATATTCCAGCCTTTGTATAAGGGCACTGGATTTTCATATTTAACTTAACCACTCAGTACTGAAACAGTTGTTACAGAGGCCTGTGTTAATGAGACCTGGACTGCCACAATATCACTAGGCAAGAGGAATTTTTCAGCTTTGTTATAATCTTGTGGGACCATTGTCATATACGTGGTCTGTCATTGATGAAAATATGATTATGAGGCACATGACTGTATTCAGACCTTCTTTGGCCTTACAGCTTTGCTAGATGGGAATCAAGTACCAGTGAACCTCCCTGCATCTCCTTGGCTGCTGGGGACAGTTATCTAGCTCTCCAAAAGGTCACATCTGGCCAGACATGGTGGCTCATACCTATAATCCTAGCACTTTGGAAACCTGAGGCAGAAGGATCACTTGAGCCCAGGAGTTCGAGACCAGCCTGGGCAACATAGCAAAACTTGGTCTCTACAAAACATAGGAAAATTAGCCAGGTGTGGTGGCATGTGCCTGTGGTCCCACCTACTTGAGAGGCTGACATGGGAGGATAGCTTAGCCCAGGAGCCTGAGGCTGTGGGGAGCTGTGATTGTACCACTGCACACCAGCCTGGGTAACAGAGTGAGCCCCTATCTCAAAACAAAAACAAAAACAAACAGTCACACCAGTGCCCTCTCCTCTTAGGTGTAAGGTAAGAATTGGATACTCCATACTCTTCCCCCTTGAGAAAAGTGGGAAATTGACTTAGAGTCTATCATGAAGCCTCTTTTAAAAAATCTTCAACTATTCTCTTCATACTCCAGCAACTCAACTCTTTCATATCCTTGGTAAGGGCAGGAGGTTTAGAGTCATGTATCCAGTTTCAGAGAATTTGTATGTTCTGTATATAGTTGAGAACTTCCTTTGGAGTACAACATCTGTAATATATTGATGCCTTAGTGAAAACTTGTCATTTAATTTTAAATGAACACAAACAGAACCTAATTTTATATAACTCAGATGACTTAATCCAATTGTAACTAATGCTTGGCCACAGATTTGTTTCATTCCACTTATTGGTCATTTTGTGATTTGCTCCAATCTTATCTATCAGAATGTTCAATCCAGTTTCGTATTCCTCATAGAGCAATAAGGCCTAATGAAAGCAGGCACTTACCCAGAGCTTACTATTTTCACACTGTTCTTCATACTTTATATGTGTTAATTCATTTAAATATTACAATAAATCTAGAAGGTAGGTACTGTTATTATTCCTGCCCTACAGGAAAGGAAATGGGGGCACAAGAAGGTTAAGTAATTTGTCAGTTTATACAACTAATAAATAGTGGTGTTGAGATTTAAACCCAAGCAGCGTGACTTCAGAGACTGTGCTCTTGACCATTTTTTTGTATTACATTTGGGCACATACAATTGAGGAACACTTGAAAGACCCACAGGAGGTAGCTCCTGCCTCAGTAAATTGAGAGCTGAAATATAATACTGAGATGTCAATACTATGATGGCCAAGATTTTGCTTGACAATTTTATTGCTTTGCTAGATGGGAGTCAAGGACCAGTAAAACTCCCTGCCTCTCCTTAGCTGCTGGGGTCAGTTACTTAACTCTCTAAAAGTCACACCTGGCCAGATGTGATGGCTCACATTAGTTAGACATAGTTACATCTAACTATAAATAGAAGCTGGCCATAATATATCTAGCCTCCTTAAAAAGTCTTGCTTGGGCTGGATGCGGTGGTGCATGCCTGTAATCCCAGCACTTTGGGAGGCCAAGGCAGGTGGACCACTTGAGGTCAGGAGTTCAAGACCAGCCTGGCCAACATGGTGAAACTCTGTCTCTACTAAAAATACGAAAATTAGCTGGGCGTGGTGGCGCCCACCTATAATCCCAGCTACACAGGAGTCTGAGGCAGGAGAATTGCTTGAACCTGGGAGGCAGAGGTTGCAGTGAGCTGAGATTGTGCCACTGCACTCCAGCCTAGGTGACAGAGTGAGATTCTGTCACAAAAAAAAAAAAAAAAAAAAGAAAGAAAAAAGTCTTGCTTGGATTTTAGCTTTGAAGTTAGGTCATGTTTTGAATGTAGCATGATATTATCCTAAGATTGATTATGTTGTTGATTTGGACTAATGTCAAAAAGAAAATGAAATAAAGCTAAGTTTCTTCAAAATGATAATAAAAGCAAGAAGATCAGTTCCAGAAATATTACCAGTGTTTAAAAGTAGGTAGAATTATACTGGCATAGAGATGTTTTATATTTTTATTGCTTATGTAATAAGAAATCAAAATTCAATACCACTTTCAGAGTTAGATTTATGTCTTGAAGATCTGGGTATTTACACTGGTCTATGAGGTTCCATATTTTTGCTGTTATTGCAATTTTAGCACTAGAGATTAATAAACATAGAGAAGTTGTAAAAATAATGGGTTCAACAGTTAGTAACTTTGTTAGGTAATGAGTTTTTGCTAAGCAAATTATGAAGTATGGAAAAGAAAAATAGCTCAGAGCAGTTTGAGCTATGTGGGGTATCCAAAATTTATTAATCCCAGAGAGAGATGAGTATGGGACTTCAGTCACACCCCTGCATCCATGCCAAGGGGCAATTGTTTAAGACATTATTTTTCTTTCTTTTCTTCCCTGTAGTTCCCTGACTAGCTACCTCACCCATTATCTTCACGTTCCTGGACTTTGTGATACAGAGAGCAGTGTATAGCCTATTAATAGATTATATTATTTTAATGTAAATTATTGGTAAATGACAAGGGACCTGCCTCTCATTTTTTTTCCTTTAAAACCCCACTTGTAACTGCTGCTAATTGGAGCACATATTCAGGGCTACTTGTGCTTCAGGTTGCAGTTCTTAAACTTGGTCCAAATAAACTCTCTACTTATATTAATTTTGCCTTTGATTTTTCCTTTAGGTCAACAAGTAGATGCAAAACAAAGGCATATCTTGATCAGCTTTTACATTTATCATATATAAAACATTAAAATAGAGAAAACTTCTAGCACAGAGCTGCAATTCATGTTGTTGGTCAAGCTGGATACTGCATAGTGGTGTCACTTGCATTGACCATTCTGTGAATGGTGGTCCCTGGAGCTACATATTGTGGTGGCCGTGATAGTAAAAATCAACTGACTTTAGCCAAGTTCAACAATATTTTCTGAGAGGAAAGTTCATATGAGGAAAATGCAAGGACTTTTTCTGAGGCAAAGAGTTTAAACTTTATCCTAATGAGGCATGAATTTTTGAGAATCCCACTATGGTGGTCACCTGAGCACCATTAAACCAAAATATCATGAATCTCTATTGCTTCTGGATTCAGTGGGTTGTCATTACAAGAGCTGGGAAGTTTCCCAAACAGTCTCTGTATAACAGGAGATAAATAGCCAACAAGTCTTAGAAACCTTGCCTACTTACCTGTAGCAGAAAAGAATATGTGACCCCAAATTATGACTGTAGGAGACCAAAATATGCTAACCCCAAATATGCCTCTTTGGTGTAGGATTATTTTGAGTTGGTTATTTTGAGAAATTGCAGATATAGGAGGAGCTCTGAAAACAGAATGGGGGTTATCCTTTTGTAAGGAAAATTAAAATCTGTAAAGGAAATTTCCGTTGGTAAGAGCATCTTCCTTTCAATACCAGGAAGAGAAGAAGAACTCTAAATCACTAGAGACTCTTTGTGATGGAGAAGGCATTGACATCAATCTGCATGATGGTAATGTGTGTGGCCTTGGACAATTTACCTGTCTGTGCTACAGTTCCCTTATCTCTGAAACAAGTACTTGCATACTAGAGTTTTAAAGCTTAGGTGAAATGATGTAGGAAGAAAATTTATATCCCAGCTTCAGGCACATTGTATGCTCTTAATAAATGTGTACTAGTGATTTTTAGAGATGCTTTGCTCATGAAACATTCCATTCAAATGACTCATGTTCAGAAGCCCAGTCTGGAAGAATAGTAAAATGTTTTCCTGGTTGAAGTATATTTGGGAACCCTTGAGATTGCTCCTAGAAACCCTCAAGATCACTCAGAGTTCACTTGGAAAGCCACCAGTTTACCGTAATTTATGATATTCCAATCCACTTCACAGATTAGAAAAAAATCTTCCTTTCTGAGTTACTTTCTGGAAGCTGTCCAGCTAAGACATGGCCAATTTGTATCCTCATCTTTGAGGCAGAGATGAAAGCAAAGTTCAAATTTCCTTAGTTCATATTCTTTAATCTTTCATTTTGCCACTATTCGTGAATAAGGCCAGAAAAAAAGCCCATTCAGCTAGAACTGTTACCAGTGGAATGCATCCCAGTTACCCCGAATTACTGGCAGAGAATCCATACATGTCTGCAGCAACTTTCGTTCTTCAGCCAAGGGGCATAAAGCAGAAGAAGGGACCAAGGCAGGCTTCAGAGCAAGGGTGGAAATTTACTTCAAAAGGCTTTAGAATAGGAAAGAAAGAAAGGTGCGCTTGGAGGAGACCATGTAAAGGTTAAAAAGAGCATTTAACCTTGATCCTAGGGCTTTCTTTTTTTTTTTTTTTCCACACAAAACAAATTGATTTTATTGTGAGATAGATTTTCTCAGAATAGCCAAGATCTTATAAAAACATTATCTTCTTTTAAAAATTATACTTTAAGTTCTGGGGTACATGTACAGAATGTGCCGTTTTATTACATAGGTATACACGTGCCACGGTGGTTTGGGGATCACCTCTTTCCCATGATTCCTCTCTTAGGTGGGCTTCCTGCATGCTCAGTGCCCACCTTACCCTTGGGAATTGAGCGTGTGCAGTGCATTTAGGAAGTTGTACATATGCCCATCTGAGGCTTTTTACCTTTTTTCTGGTGGAGTGTCCCTGAGAGGTCATACTTCACCATCTTGTTTCTTAATGCTCATGCCCAGGAAGTTTCTGCTTCCTGGCATCTGCATTCAATTAGCACTTTAATATTAATAGCTGTGAAACATCAGGAGATTGTCTTTCCCTGGCTTTAGAGAGGTAGTGTGATAATTATCGAACCATCACCTGATATTCCTAGTGGGTGGCGGGAGAGCCCTCTGCTGCCTTGCTGATGCCTGTCTAACTACCTGTAACAGAATGGCCTAGTACTTAGTGGAAAGGGCACTGAACTTGTAATTTAAATATGAGATCCTCTACAGATCTGCCATAGTTTGCTACGTATCAGCTGAGTTAATCTTGGATGTTTATATAACTCCTCTGGGTCTCAGTTTCCTGATTTGTGAAATAGGTTTAATGCTTTTGACACAGTGTTGTGAGAATGTGATAATATCAATATACTTACTACCAGGCAAGGTGTCAGAGCCCCAGCATCAGGAAGTGGTCCATTTGCAGGTTGGTAGAAAGAATTTACTGACAAAAGTATAGGTCTGAAAAAGGAAAGTTTCTTAGAAAGAAAGAACACTGTAAAAGGGTGCAGTGGAGTGCCTCAGAGAGACAGGAGTGAGTGCGCCATGGTAGATATTCCTTAGGAGCATTTATGGACCTTAAGGCGGGAGCCGAGGGGTTATTTTGACCATATTGGCCACATAGGTCATGAGAAATGATTGCATTTGTAGACATTTTGGTGCCTTAATGCCAGCAAGGGTTGCACACTGAATTTTGGCATGCCATTTTGGAGATGTGCAAGAATTCTAGTTACTTATAATATTTACATTGAAAAGTGGCCTGGAACCAGATGCTGACTTTAGATACTAGAGAAGTTTAATTCCTTCTAAATTCCCAGATAAGGAGTTTTGCTTCTGGATGGCCTGTTTGATGGTCACCAGGTGGTCTTTGCTCCCTTCTAAATTCTTCAGATAAGGAATTTTTGTCTCTAGTGGCCTGTTTAATGGTCACCGGGTGACTTTTGCTCTCCTCACATACCTAAGGCTGTACCTGGTACATAGACACTCAATAGATGCTAGTAATGCTAATTTCCAATCTAGTTTTATTACATCATTTGAAGTGGTGGACAAATTTTATTCACTACATATTGTTTAGTGAATAAAGATATTCTCAGCTTCAGTTCGGCCATCTCCAATACATAAGTTAGAAAAGTTGTACTAGGAAGCATATCAAGGAAATGAGATTGAACATAACTTATTGACACTGTGTAAAATTTAAATTTGGAATAAACAGGAATACTCTTCATATATAGCTAAAACTATGTGGCTCTTCTCTATTTGCATAAAATTTTCATTTTCCTTAATATTTAGTAAATCTATGGAAGCAGCAGAGTCACATGTACGGTATTCTACATGATACCGCTGAGGATGGTGCACTGACATGCTGAGTATGTTGAACTAAAGAAATAGTTTCAGAACCAAGGTCTCTCTGAAATTCTCCTGCCTCCCTGTCTCTCACCCTCTGCTTCTCCCAAAGCACAGGAAGGGACTTTCTATGATATTCTCTTATCTTACTGAGAAAAGTTCTTCCAGAAGGAATGTGATTGGTGTGAGCCCCCTCCATTAAATCTACATTAAGCCTAGCTGACTAACTCCTTTTGAAGAGGAGACTAGAGTTCTCCACGCCCAGGACACCATGTCCAGATAGACTTTTTCACCCCTTTTTCTGTGGACCATTACCTGAGAGACCTTATCTGCATAATAAGACACTTTTTGTTCACAGTCTAGTTCTTCCCTGCACCCTCCCCTAACCTGTTGCCACCACCCTCCAGGAGTCTTCAAGGCTTTGATTCTTTCTGTTGCTCAAAATGCTATTTAAGCTTCAACCATCCGGCCCTTCTTTGCCTCTTATACTTTGTGAGACCCTCATTTATACGCACATAATAAATTTGTATGCCTTTTCTCTTGCTAATCTGTCCACTGTCAAGTTTATTTCTCAGACTCAAATATTAAAGCTCTGCAGGAGAGATAAAAAGTTCTCTCACCCCTACATGGTACTTACATTATGCTTAGGGATCTTACTTTACTGATTCATCTCATTAATCTGAAAATTTCAGGTTAAAAATAGTAGCATTTCTAAAGTCATTTTATTATTTTTGGAGAGTTTTAGTATACCTTATGTGGTCAGTACATTGCAGTGAGAATCAGCATTTTAGTGAAAAATACATTGCAAATTCCTCAATCCATGAAAAGGCTTTATATGTTGATAATTAATGATATCTAGTAGAAAATCTACCCATGTAGAGGTTCTTCCAGAGGTTGAAATTTTTGCTGATTCTACTTTTTATTTGAGGGAGGGTGGTTTGTCATAAATTTTGGAAATCTGTACTGTTTTTCTTTCTTTCTTTTTTTTTTTTGAGACGATGTCTTGCTGTCACCCAGGCTGGAGTGCAGTGGCGCGATCTCAGCTCACTGCAGGCTCCACCCTCTGGGATTCACGCCATTCTCCTGCCTCAGCCTTCCAAGTAGCTGGGACTGCATGTACTGTCTTTCTTGAAGATGCCTCACTGTCAAATTATTTCTAATAAATTTTTATGTATATAGTCTCACATTTCTAGAGATTTAGTTTTTATTTGAAATCAGAAGACCTAGATTTGTGTTATTTCTTCAACTTTCTAGCCATATGACCTTATATAAATCACTTAGCCTTTCTAAAACTAAATTACCGAATCTTGAAAATGGAAATGTAAACCAAAAAATATCTGAGACATGTCTCAATCAATTTAGAATTTTATTTTGCCAAGGTTAAGGGCAATGCCTGGACAAAATAAACACAGAATCACAAAAACAGTCTGTGGTCTGTGTCTTTCTCCAAAGATGATTTTGAGGGCTTCAATATTTAAAGAGGAAAAGTGGGCTGGAGAAAAAAAGAGAGAGGGTATGGTCATATTATTGAATCCACATATTGCAAGAGAAATGGAGCAGTCAGGGGAACAGTCAATTATGTATTTGTCTTGCACTTGGTAAATCTGGCACTTTACCTAAGGTAAAGTGAATATAGAGTAGCTACTTATGGAGATATTTAACCTTTTATATGCAGCTATCTGCTTAGTAATGAAAGAAAAGGCAGCTTCTGACATGACCCAGCTTTCAGTTTAATTTTTTTTTTTTTTTGCACAGTGAATTGGGGTCCCAAGTTTTTATTTTCCTTTCACTATGATAATGAACTCAGTATTTTCACTGGATTATTACAATTCAAGAAATGGGAATAATGTTAAGGAGTGTTTTGTAATTGCAAAGGGCTATGTAAATATATTGTCATTTCTTTCTTAGTTTGCAAAGGGATGAGGAAAAAGTAAGTAGCTATGACTTTTCTCTGACAAGGAGGAATTTCTTTCATTTTTCTTATGATATGCTGATATTTCTGCATCCTTCTAAATCCAGGTATTCTAGAAACCAGAGAAGTAAATATAATTTAAGATCCCAGGTCAACAATATTTAGTTTGATGCATAGATGTGAAGTTTTAGTGCATGATACAGATCTAGCATCTGGCCTGTCACATACTAGTTTTGTTCACTTGGATAATCCACAGATGACTTTTAAAGTATTTATTGTGTTCATATCATTACACTATGAGGTAAAGATGAGACAGTACCAATCTCGCTTTCAAGGAATTTATATTCTTAGTGGGATAAAAAGAATTATATAATGAGAAATTAGGAAACGGTGATTATTGCACCAAAAATCATAAATAAAAAAGCCAAGGGATTTCCAAGGGAAGAATGATTACATTTGTTGTGAGGACTCACAAACATTTGACATTTGAGATTGACTGGAATGAGAAGATAAGATTTGTAAGATAGGCAGGGAAAAACAGTATAGAGATGACAACTATAAGGAGTGTTTGGAGAGTAGAAAGGACCTAGTTTTAAATGAAGAATATAATAGCAAATTGAGATGTACGGAGACAAAATTTTGAAAAAACATATAGTGGCCATATTATGGAAGAACTTAAATAACAATGAAAAAAATTTTCTCTTAATTTTTAGGCAACACATAGTCTTTGAATATTTTTGATCTGGAAAGTAGCATAGGCAGAGATATAAATTGCTGACTGATAAGATGAAAAGGGTTGGAAAAGACTTGATGTATATTATAGTTTTGAGCCAGGGTACTTTGGCCCATAAGCATTTTGGTTGTAAGGAAAAGAGAGTTATTTGAAATACCTTATAGAAAAGAATAAGAATTAGAAGTGGAACCAAAAAGCCATAAGGGACTGATAGGGTTTGACTGTGTTCCCACCCAAAATCTCATCTTGAATTGTAATCCAAATTATAATTCCCACGTGTTGGAAAAGGGACCTCATGGGAGTTGAGTAGATCATGGAGGTGGTTCCTCCATGCTGTTCTCATTGATAGTGAGTGAGTTATCATGAAATCCGATGATTTTATAAGGGGCTTCCCCACCTCACTTTGCACCTCTCTCTCCTGCCACCATGTGAAGAAGGATGTGTTTGCTTCCCCTTCTGCCACAATTGCAAATTTCCTGAGGCTTCCCCAGCCATGCAGAACTGTGAGTCAATTAAACCTCTTTTTTTTTTTTTTTGTAAATTACCCAGTCCCAGGCAGTTCTTTATGGCAGAGTGAGAATGGAGTAATACAGTAAATTGGTCCTGAGGGAGTGGGGTGCTATAAAGATACCCCAAAATGTGGAAGTGACCTTGGAACTGGGTAACAGGCAGAGGTTGGAACAGTTTGGAGGGCTCAGAAGAAGACAGGAAAACGTGGGAAAAGTTTGGAACTTCCTAGAGATTTGGAGGGCTCCATAGACAGGAAAATATGGGAAAGTCAGGAAGTTCCTAGAGACTTCTTGAATGGTTGGACCAAAATGCTGTTAGTGAATGTGGAAAATGAAGTCCAGGCTGAGGTGGCCTCAGATGAAGATGAGGAACTTCTTGGGAACTGGAGCAAAGGTGACTCTTGCTATGCTTAGCAAAGAGACTGGTGTCATTTTTTCCCCTGCCCTAGAGCTCTGTGGAACTTTGAACTTGAGAGAGATGACATAGGGTATCTGGCAGAAGAAATATCCAAGTGGCAAAGCATTCAAGAGGAGGCAGAACGTAAAAGTTTGGAAAACATTGGCTGGGTGCGGCGGTTCATGCCTGTAATCCCAGCACTTTGGGAGGCCAAGGCGGGCAGATCATGAGGTCAGGAGATCGAGAACATCCTGGCTAACACAGTGAAACCCCCGTCTCTACTAAAAATACAAAACATTAGCCAGGTGTGGTGGTGGGCCCCTGTAGTCCCAGCTACTCAGGAGGCTGAGGCAGGAGAATGGCATGAACCAGGAGGTGGAGCTTGCAGTGAGCAGAGATTGCACCACTGCACTGCAGCCTGGGTGACGCAGCAAAACTCCATCTCAAAAAAAAAAAAAAAAAAAGTGTGGAAAACATGCAGCTGGACCATGAGATAGAAAGGAAAAACCCATTTTCTGAGGAGAAATTCAAGCTGGCTGCAGAAGTTTGCATAAGTAATGAGGAGCCAAATGCCACTTGCCAAGACAATGGGGAAAATGTCTCCAGGGTTTGTCAGAGACCTTTGCAGCAGCTGCTCCCATCGCAGGCCAAGAGGCCTGGGAGGGAAAAATGATTTCCTGGGCCAAACCCAGTGCCCCTTGCTCTATGCAGCCTTAGGACATAGCATCATGTGTCCCAGCTGCTTCGACTCCAGCCATGGCTAAAAGGGGCCAAGAAACATGTTGGGCTGTTGCTTCAGAGAGTGCAAGCCCACAGCCTTGGTGGCTTACATGTGGTGTTGGGCCTGTGGGTGCACAGAAGTCAAAAATTAATGTTTGGGAACCTCCACCCAGATTTCAGAGGATGTATAGAAATGCCTGGATGTCCAGGAAGAAGTTTGCTGCAGGGGCAGAGCCTTCATGGAGAAACTCTGCTAGGGCAGTGCAGAAGGGAAATGTGGGGTGGGAGCCCCCAACACAGAGTTCCCACTGGACACCACCTGGTGGATCTGTGAGAAGAAGACCACTATCCTCCAGACCCCAGAATGGTAGATCCACCAACAGCTTGCACCATGTGCCTGGAAAAGCTGCAGACACTCAATGGCAGCCTGTGAAAGCAGCCTGGAGGGAGACTGTCCCTACAAAGCCACAGAGGCAGAGCTGCCCGAGGCCATGGGAGCCCACCTTTTGCATCAGTGTGACCTGGATATGAGACATAGGAGATCATTTTGGAACTTTAAGATTTAATGACTGTGCAGCTGGATTTCAGACTTGTATGGGACTGTAGCCCCTTTATTTTGGCTAATTTCTCCCATTAGAAATGGGAACATTTACTCAATGCCTGTACCCCAACTATATCTAGGAAGTAACTAACTTTCTTTTGATTTTACATGCTCATAGGTGGAAGACACTTGCCTTGTCTCAGATAAGACTTTGGGTTAATGCTGGAATGAGTTAAGACTTTGGGGTACCATTGGAAAGACATTATTGTGTTTTGAAATGTGAGGACATGAGACTTTGAAGGGTCCAGGGGTGGAATAATATGGTTTGGCTTTGTCCCTACCCAAAATCTCATCTTGAATAGTAATCCAACTTATAATCCCCATGTGTTGGGGGAGGGACCTTGTGGGAGGTGATTAGATCATGGGGGTGGTTCCTCCATGCTGTTCTCATGATAGTAAATGAGTTCTCATGTGATCTGGTGGTTTTATAAGGGGTGTTCTCCCTTTGCTCCACACTTCTCTCTCCTGCCACTGTGTGAAGAAGGATGTGTTTGCTTCCCCTTCCACCATGATTGTAAATTTCCTGAGACCTCCCCAGCCTTGTGGAACTGTGAGTCAGTTAAATCTCTTTCCTTTATAAATTACCCAGTCTCAGGCAGTTCTTTATAGCAGCATGAGAATGAACTAATACAGGGACCAAGGAACTAAATTAACAAAAATTTCTCTTTTTTCTCTTTTTTATTCTTTCCTCCCTCTTTCCCTCCCTCCTGACGTCTCTGCTTTTCTTTATACTTCCATTGATTCTCTATTTTCTGTAAGTTGAATTTTTTTGTGTATTTAGTCTTCAGTCACTCTGACCTTTATCTATATACTGCTTGTTATAATTCTTAATGCCTAGAAAAAAATTAAATTCATTGTTTTCATTCTTCTTAAGCAAGTCAAAGTAAATTAGGTTGCCTGCCAGGGTATGGATAGCTTCCTTTGCATCTGGGGTCTAGGTCTAAACAATAGTGTCTGAGAGAGCTGGGGATGGTCATATGATCTAGTGTCCAAGCAATTGGACCTGTGAATGAGGATAGTTTCCGTGAAAAAGAAATATGGGTAGGGCAAGGTATCAATCAGTGTTCTAGCAGAGAAACAGAATGAGTAGGACTTATTATCTATCTATCTATCTATCTATCTATCTATCTATCTATCTATGTCTTGTATCTAACACAAGGAAGTCTCTTATGCCATTATGGGGACTGGCTAGGTAAATTTGAAATCCATAGGGCAGGCTATCAAGAAGGACGGGCTGGAAATTCTCAGGCAGGAGCTGATGCTGCAGTCTAGAGGTAGAATTTCTGTTTTGTCAGAGAAACCTCAGTTTTGTTCTCCAGGCCTCTCATCTGTTTAGTTGAGGCCCCCTTAGAAAATTGAGGATAATTTCCTTTACTTAAAGTCAATTGATGGAAGATGCTAATCACATCTACAAAATACCTTCACGGCAGCACCTAGGTTAGTTTTTGAATAGCAGGGAACCATAGCCTAGCCAAATTGACACATAAAACTAACTGTCACAGGCAGACACTCCAAAACAGGCCTAATACATTGACTATACAAGAAGATGGAAGTGCAGTGTAAGAAAAAATATTGAGCCTGTTTTTGAACACATAGAGTTTTCAGTGTCCCTGAGTCATTGACACATTATTTTGTGCTTTTGTACAGTTTGTTCTAGATGATTTCTGAGGCTTCAGTTATAAAATAATTCCTATTATTATTGTGTGCAAAAACAATAGAGATGATTAACAAAAGGCAATTGTCATTGCAAAGAGAATAACCTTTCAGAATTAAAATTTTTTTCCTATTTTCCACCTCTTCCCAGAAGAATAGTAACAGAATGAATTAATTTTGGCTAAGAAATAAGGCATTCGGCTTGTCATTTACTCAGCACGCCATAGGCCATATACTATGTTAGATGCTATAGATATGGATATGGAGAAACATGACTATAATCTAATGACTCTAGGAAAATTGATCATTTCAGTACATGTTACATTCTGTGAGAGAAATGTGCACAGCACTGAGGAGTGGCATATGAATCAAGCCAGGGGTTCATGGAAGGCTTCCTGGGAGACAGATATTTTGAACTAAACCTGAAGGTCAGGATTTAGATAGGCAGAGAAGATGGCCACAGGAAGGGGCAGCTGCTGGGAACAGAGAAACTTTGAGTAAACCTCTGCTATAGGCTGGTAAGGAGGACAGAAAAGTCAGACACTTTAGTGGGCTATTTAACTTTTTGAAAAGTGCTATAGGTTTGCAGGGAAAGAAATTAGTGTGTATGGGGGCAGTGAGAGAAGTTATGTGTCTTGATCAGAGACTTGAGAGAAGAGAAGGAATTTCTAGGTGCACTATGATGATGAGGGTAGCTGGGACAGGCACAACTGGAGGGTCATTTTAGGCAGAAGGTAGAAGACAGCAGGTTTAGGGGTGAGGAAGAGAGTGGATTATTCATTTACTTTTGGCTATGTTGTATCTTTCCAAACATTCTCACGGTAGAGAGAAATAGCCTTATTAGCCAGACACTGGGTCAAATTTCAAAGCTTGTGTATTCCATGACTGTCATTTTATGGTAATCATATTATGCAAAAAATTCTAAAGTGATAGGTAATTCGTTCCCTAGATTTATTCATTCAGTTTCAAACAAAATTGTATTAAAATTCTTTTGTCCATTTTCTTTTGTTTTCCCTCCGTTGTTTTAGCTCTTTCATCTTGCAGAGTTTTCTGATTGTATTAATGTTTGCTTGGATGTCAATCTTGTTCAGTTTACTTAGCATACATAACATGCAGTTTCCAAATTGTGACTTGATTCCTGCAGTTCCAATAATTCTCATTCATTCTTGTCATTTTAAATGTGATTGAAGGCAGAAAATTTACATGCTGCTGCATTAATGCATTTTGAAAGCTAACTTTGAAAATGTCATTTGTTTATATATACAAACCTTAAACCATCCAAGGGTTTTTTGAGTAAGAAGAATTTTATCTGCTCAGGACATATTGCCATGTTGTTTTCATTTATGCAGCTTTGAACTATCAGCAACCAGCACATCTTCAGAACATCGAGATGAAGTAGATGGTAAACTTTGTGGAGTTGTGCTTGTTTGTTTGTGATTCTTTGTGCATCTGTGTGTGTATGTGTGTGTGCATGTGTTTTCAGTGGATTTGTCCAGTGAAGTAACATAGTGCTCCAGAGAAATATTAGTACATGGTTTTCTCCTTATTTTGTGTGCAAGTACTTTCTGTCCTATGTATGAAATAAGCTATGTGAATGTCCTTTGTATAACTAATGCATCATATTATGGTGAAACACTACTTCTTTTCATTATATTGAAAAAATATGCATCATATTATGGTGAAGCACTGCTTCTTTGCATTACATTGAAAAAATACTTCAGGCCTTGCACCTCTTACTGCAATAGAAATGTGCTGTGGTTTGAATGTGTCCCCTCCAAAATTCAGGTGTTCAAACTTAATGGCCAAATGACTAATATAACGCTATTAAGAGATATGGCCCTTAAGAGGTAATTAGTCCATAATAGCTTTTCCCTTGCGAATGGGATTAGGTACCCCTGTAAAAGGACTTGACAGAGGGATTTTGTCTCTTTTTACCCTTCCACCTTATGCCATAGAGGACACAGCATTCTTCTCCTCTGAGGAGAACAGTGTGCAAGGTGCCATCCTGGAGGAGGAGACCAGACTCTTACCAGGTAATGAACCTGCCGGCACCTTGATTTTGGACTTCACAACCTCTGGAACTGTGATAAATAATTTTACATTCTTCATTAATTACCCAGACTGATATTTTGTTATGGAAACACAGACTAGGACAAAATTATTTGTCCAAATTTAGTATTAAAATGGTTTTAGTGTAACTCCTCTCTTTCTTAGCTTTAATA
The DNA here is from genome assembly GCF_000001405.40 of Homo sapiens. Taxonomy (NCBI): domain Eukaryota; kingdom Metazoa; phylum Chordata; class Mammalia; order Primates; family Hominidae; genus Homo; species Homo sapiens. The sequence goes on from NC_000012.12 coordinate 33,264,389, forward strand.
TTTTCCTTCCTTCCTTCCCTCCCTCCCTCCCTCCTTCCTTCCTTCCTTCTTTTCTTTATTCCTTCCTTTCTTCCCTCCCTCCCTCCCCCTTCCTTCCTTCCCTCCTTCCTTCTTTCCTTCCCTCCCTCCTTCCTTCCTTCCCTCCCTCCTTCCTTCCCTTCTTCCCTCCTTTGTTCCTTTCTTCCTTCCCTTCCTTCCTTCCTTCCTTTTCTCCTTCCTCTCTTCTTGCTTCCTTCTTTTTTGCTTTTTCTTGTCATTATTTCAGTGATTTCATTTCTCCTTTGCCTGTGCTGTCTTTTTAATATTTGCTACATACAAGGCTATACTCTTGACATTGTGAGAGTTATTAAGATAAAATAAATACTACAAATAAGCACTTTTGAGTACTTATTATGGAGCAGGCATTCTTTCATATGTTTTAAATGTATTAATTTATATAATCTTCACAACAATTGTATGAAGCAAATACTGTTATCATCTCCATTTTACAGATGAGAAAACTAAGTTTTAAGTCCAGTAATTGCGCAAGGCCCCACAGGAGTTAAGGGGCAAAGATTTAAACCCATATTTTTAATCACGTCCTCACTGTTTCATCTAACTAAAACCTAGCAGGAAAAGTGACAGCCACAAAGAATACATAAAAATGAAATAAATAAAGTAGGTATCCTGAGAGACATTCACACAAAGTACTACTGAAGCTCAGAGGAGGGGAGAAGATGAGAGCATGTTAGCCATCATCATGGACCTTGATGGATGGGGAGGATTTTGAAAGAGAATGGTAAAGGGGACATTCCAGCAAGAGGGAATGATTTATCTCTGGGATGGGACCATTGGGAACACAAAGGGGAACAGTCAGAACAAAGCCTGGAAGGGTGAGTCAGAGCCATGTTGTGTGAGGCTTTACATTCAAGCAGAGAAGCTGGCATTTAACATGTCAGGCAGGAGGAAAACAGCTAAAGGTTTTAAGCAGGAGAGTGACAGTGATTTGTATAAAATCATTTATTAAGATTCTGTAGGATGGATTAGCATGAGTGAGTTCAGAATCTGGGAGATTGAATTGAACTTTGATAAGAGAGACTAAAGGCTTGAATTCAAGTGTTGGCTTTGGGAATGATCCGGGGAGAATAAGAGGCCCTACATATGCATACAGAACTTAGTAACCTTGTGGGGGAAGAGTGAGGTTTCCATGGTTTGTAAAGAAGCAGTACAGCTCTGGGAGAATGAGGATATGGTTCACTTACACAGCAAGGCAGGTTTAAGGGGAGCAGAGTGGAGATGCATTCATATTTTGACTTATCAGTGTCCAAGAAAATGTTCCACCATTAATAAGAAATAAATTTATAAAGTCAAGGGCAAGAACTTTTAAGGATCCATCAGTGCTCAGCCAGATTGTTTTGCCTATCTCCTCTTTCCCCTTTTGTTGTTCTTTCACATTTGGCCTCCTATTTGGAAAGTTTCCCAAAGCCTGGATGGACTGGCTGCTCACCATTTATCTCCTCCTTCTGATTTCTCTCCATTGTCACAATCAAATTCATGAAATTATACCTCTTAGTTGTTTATGTCTGCATGGTGCTGAACCTTTGCTAATAAAAATATGCATTTCTGCTGATCTTTAGCAAAAAATAAAAGCAAAATCATAGTGAAACCAAACCAAAACAGAGCAAATAAACATGCAGCCTAGAGGAAAAGAGAAACTGGAAGCAAGAGAAACCAGGAAACCATGCAGACATCAACCTAATAGAAATCAAGCAGAAACTGCCACAGAAACAACGCTGTCTACATTTGTCTCCGTGGATTTTATCTCAGGTTCTGCCAATGAAAACCTGAGAGTAGGTCTTTTACAATTACCTACATGGTCTGTGGTCAACAGATTAAATTGGATTAAACAAACAAACAACTCTTGAGTAAGGGAGAACAGAAAGCTTTGGTTTTCTGGACTGGATAAGTAGAAGTTCCTTAATGGTGTGAAGAGAGGTCACAGCTGAGTTACTCAAAGTAGAAACATGGAGACATTGTTTTGAAAGTTATATTAAAGAATACAAGTTTAGGATGTTTACAAATAAGTTTATTATATCATATTCCTTCAATCTCATTAGCTGTCAGCTAATGGCATTAACAGAAGGAAAAGTTTCTATTTTTAATTCTTTCAACCTATAAGGATCTGAGTAAAATTACTTCCTGAGAAGTCTTTTGTTGAAAATCATAGTTAGCAAACAGATTTAAGATCAAGTTATTTTCTTCAGTTAATGAGATTTATTTTGATATCAGTTTTGAGACATCACCATGTTTTCTTTTTTTTTTATTCCCAGATGTGCTATAATTCTGAACTAAGTGTATGCCTTTTAGATTTCTTTCTGGTGTCTTGCCAATTGCCTGTTGACCTTCTGCTTCTGTCTTCCACAACCATCTCTACACATCATTCTTCTGATCTTATTCTGTGTGCCTTTATAGCAAGCGTATCTACAAGTCATGTTACCAATAGGTCCAAACTTCTGAATTCACACCTGGCACCCTCTTTATTTTTAGCTATGAACTTCTCAGGATAGGACTCTTGTCTTTAATCATATCACCATTCTCCCCCTCATAATAACTCTGCTTTAGAAACTCAGGGCAATTATCATTGCCGCTGAGGTGGCCTCCCCAACCTCCTTTCTTCTCTAGTTGAGTTAGTCAGGAACTCTCATCACACCTTGTAATCCTTTCTCTCATTGAGTACAGAAGCTGTGTCATTCTCTCTCTCTTTTTTTTATCTTCAGAGATTTGCATTGTTTTCAGCACACAATGGATTCCTCAGTTAAGACCTGTGGAGTGAAAAAACAAAGGAACTATGTATTCATATCTGTTAAAAAAATGTGTGCTTACAAAATGGACTTACATATAGCTATTGATGTATCTACAAATTAGGTTCATTTTTAGCCTTTTCCCAAATCCCCTTTCTGAGGTGTCTTCCTATATATTGGTCCACCTCCATTGGCACTAGTGCCTTGATGCTACCTTTAGGCATTGCTTGAGGCTCAAAAAGTGTTCATTTCTCCTCTTCCCATCATTATTTCTATTCTTCCATTCCTGTGATAATAGCTAGTTGTCAGCAAAAGAGAACAGTGTCTTTTAATTCTCATAAAATAACAAAGAAATAAGAATGTAATGATTGAGCTTTCTAAAATCTATTTGAATTTCAAATGCAAGTGTTAATCCTGAAGAATCAATCTCTAATGGTAAGATTTAAGGTATCACCTGAAAAACATCTCATAACCTGCTAGTCTATCTGTAAAACCCAGTCTGCACAACCCTGGGATATGGATACATTGAGAGAGGGTAGTTATTTGTAGGGGGTGTGTATTAGGATACTCTTTTCTTAGGTGTGATCTTTAGCTCCCCAGACATGCTGGGATAGAGCTCAACTTATGTTAAGTGCTTACTGCAATCCCTGCAATGACTGGCTCATGGAAAGGGAGCCCAGGTTCCTCCCCAGGCTCATTTATTGCCACTTCCCTCTGCATACTCTACATTCCAGTGTGGCTGGCTTTCACTTAGTTTTGTATATATAGCCTAATCTTTTCTGGACTCAGAATGTACTACTCTATCATTCAGGAAGGACATCCTCCTCTTCTTTGCCTGGTTAACTTCTACTCATTCTGCTCATCTCTCTGGTACTATATACTTTATATCACTACGGGGTATATATCCAAAGGAAATCAAATTAGTATGTTGAAGAGCTATCTTTGTACCCACATTTACTGCAGCATTATTCACAATAGCACTATTCATAATATTCACAATGTGGAGCCAACCTAAGTGTCCATCAATGGATGAGTGGATGAAGAAAATGTGGTATATATGCACAATGGAATGCTATTCAACCATAGAAAGAATGAAATTTTCTCATTTGTGAAAACATGGATGAGTTTGAAAAACATTATGCTAAGTGAAATAAGCCAGACACAGAAAGATAATAATCTCACTCATATGTGGAATCTAAAAAAGCTGATCTCATAGAAGTATAGTGTAGACTGCTGGTTACCAGAGGTTGGGGTGGTTAGGAGGGAGGGAAAAAGGGGGGATATTCATCAAAGGATATCCAAGTGGATCTCAGAGATATTGTGGGATCTGTTCCAGACCACTGCAATAAAATAAATATTGCAATAAAGCGAGTGACATGAATTTTTGGTTTCCCACTGCATATAAAAGTTTACACCATACTGTAGTTTATTAAGTGTGCATGCTTACTGTTCAGCACAGTAAAAATAAAGTCACTTTGGGAACAAATGGCAGACATGCTTATTGCTCATGATAAAAGATTTGGGTTCCCCAGGCTTGGGTTTTCTCTTCTATAATTAAACCATGGGCATAGTAATCCACTGGGGCCTATTCAATTTGTGGGACTTAGAGGCAAGGGGAATTGACACAGATATGCTGATACGCTGTTTGTTCTTCCATGAGTAATAAAGTCATTTGTCTCTGATTCGTGAGTCTCATGTTCTCTGTCAGAAAACCTGAAACTGTGATAGGTTGCTACCAAGTAGAGTAGTCTTAGATCCTTCACAGTTGACAATGATATCCTCAACTTAAAATGTTTCCATGATTTCTCTATTGCTTTTAAAAGTAAATTCCTTATCATGCTCTGCAAGGCCCATATCATCAAATTCCTTTCTACTTTTGCTATGCCCCACAACTTAATTTATCTTTTAACTGACTTAAGATTTTCCAGTGTCAGGGTTCTCAGTTGTCTGAACCCCTAGTTAATTATTTCTACTGGCTTACCACTTCTACCACCACAACTGTGTACTGTCATGTCCCTAAATAGATCCCCTGCTAAAGACATCCCCACAAATCTACCAAAATAATAAAGATTTGGGTAGGATGTTCATATAAGAGATATTATGAGCATATTTTATTAGTAGTGTTAAAGTAATGATTTTTTTCACTTCTAGCTGCCCAGTAACTCTGTTTCCCTCACATTTAAAATACTAGTTATCTCTGGTGGAAAGGTTTTTGCCTAAGGCTATAGTTTTGGAGTTATCAGGGTAGTACTTCATTCTGAAACTGCAATATTAAGATATATACCAGTGCATCTGGGCATGGTAGCACACCGTTATAGTCCCAGCTTCCTGGGAGGCTGAAGTGGGAGGATTGCTTGATCCCAGGAATTCAAGGCCAGCCTGGGCAACATAGCAAGCTTCTGCCTTTTCTTAAAAATACATACCAGCGGCATGAGCATTGCATAGCATCACAACACTAGGCCACATGTCCATGAAGAGAAAAATATCACCCTACTTAAGTAAGATGTACCTTTATTGGCTTTCATTTATAACATCTCCAAACCTGTCCATATAAATATATTCATAATTTTAGGTATCTGCTGTAGGTGACATTAAGAAAATCCACTTTTTGCCCTCCCTCATCCCCATCGAGAACCCTATATGTGATATGTTAAAAATGGGCCTGTTATTTATTTATTTATTTATTTATTATTATTATACTTTAAGTTTTAGGGTACATGTGCACAATGTGCAGGTTAGTTACATATGTATATATGTGCCATGCTGGTGCGCTGCACCCACTAACTCGTCATCTAGCATTAGGTATATCTCCCAATGCTATCCCTCCCCCCACCCCACAACAGTCCCCAGAGTATGATGTTCCCCTTCCTATGTCCATGTGTTCTCATTGTTCAGTTCCCACCTATGAGTGAGAATATGCGGTGTTTGGTTTTTTGTTCTTGCGATAGTTTACTGAGAATGATGATTTCCAATTTCATCCATGTCCTTACAAAGGACATGCACTCATCATTTTTTATGGCTGCATAGTATTCCATGGTGTATATGTGCCACATTTTCTTAATCCAGTCTATCATTTTTGGACATTTGGGTTGGTTTCAAGTCTTTGCTATTGTGAATAATGTCGCAATAAACATACGTGTGCATGTGTCTTTATAGCAGCATGATTTATAGTCTTTTGGGTATATACCCAGTAATGGGATGGCTGGGTCAAATGGTATTTCTAGTTCTAGATCCCTGAGGAATCACCACACTGACTTTCACAATGGTTGAACTACTTTACAGTCCCACCAACAGTGTAAAAGTGTTCCTATTTCTCCACATCCTCTCCAGCACCTGTTGTTTCCTGACTTTTTAATGATTGCCATTCTAACTGGTGTGAAATGCTATCTCACTGTGGTTTTGATTTGCATTTCTCTGATGGTCAGTGATGGTGAGCATTTTTTCATGTGTTTTTTGGCTGCATAAATGTCTTCTTTTGAGAAGTGTCTGTTCATGTCCTTTGCCCACTTTTTGATGGGGTTTTTTTTTTTTCTTGTCAATTTGTTTGAGTTCATTGTAGATTTTGGATATTAGCCCTTTGTCAGATGAGTAGGTTGCAAAAATTTTCTCCCATTTTGTAGGTTGCCTGTTCACTCTGAGGGTAGTTTCTTTTGCTGGGCAGAAGCTCTTTAGTTAAATTAGATCCCATTTGTCACTTTTGGCTTTTGTTGCCATTGCTTTTGGTGTTTTAAACATGAAGTCCTTGCCCATGCCTATGTCCTGAATGGTAATGCCTAGGTTTTCTTCTAGGGTTTTTATGGTTTTAGGTCTAACGTACTGCCCAAGGTAATTTACAGATTCAATACCATCCCCATCAAGCTACCAATGACTTTCTTCACAGAAATGGAAAAAGCTACTTTAAAGTTCATATGGAACCAAAAAAGAGCCCGCATCGCCAAGTCAATCCTGAGCCAAAAGAACAAAGCTGGAGGCATCACACTACCTGACTTCAAACTATACTACAAGGCTACAGTAACCAAAACAGCATGGTACTGGTACCAAAACAGAGATATAGATCAATGGAACAGAACAGAGCCCTCAGAAATAACGCCACATATCTACAACTATCTGATCTTTGACAAACCTGAGAAAAACAAGCAAGGGGGAAAGGATTCCCTATTTGATAAATGGTGCTGGGAAAACTGGCTAGCCATATGTAGAAAGCTGAAACTGGATACTTTCCTTACACCTTATACAAAAATCAATTCAAGATGGATTAAAGACTTAAACGTTAGACCTAAAAATGGGCCTGTTTTTAAGAGAGTTAGCTAACAACCAGGCCACAGAGTTAGCAAATGACAAAGCTGGCAGAAAATTTTGAACCACAGCTCTTCATTTTTTGGGTTACTTCGCTATGTTATTTCATTTTGACTCTGGAATAAAGTACATTAAACTATGAATTTTCCATCTGTGTACACCACAAATCACAATATCCTTCATCATAGAACAAAAAGATGAAATCTTGCCATGGTATTTGAGTAATAGCTCCCTGTTACAGTGACCTGATTTGAAAAAGACTGTGGCCTTGACGTTTTCTATGGATAAAATTTGTTCCATAACCCTTTATTTAGCAAAGGTTCTTTCCATTTTAAAAAAGTAACATTAATTTAATGTTAAGAAAATGGCATAGAACAAACATACAATTTAGGATTAAAACATGTTTATTTTCATGATGTAATTTTATCTAGAGAGTTTGTATCTAAAGGCAGTAGGGTAATGACTTATAGAAGCAATATATGCTGTATAAAGATAAGTCTTTGGCTAACACTCAGATTTAGGTAGAAGTTAAATATGTAATTAGCTCTGTTTTATCTTTTTTATCCAAATAAACATTTTAAAGACTTGATACTACATTTTAAGATTAAGTTGGTAGAAAAATATGCAATTAGCTCTGTTTTATATTTTTCATCTAAATAAATATTTCAAAGAATTGATATTACACTTGAGGATTAAGTTCTGGGGTATACCAAATAAGATATTTAGAAAGTACTTTTAAGTATTTTGTCTGTTGGGACCACTGCATTCTTTGCACTGGGCAATATTTTATTACAGGCAGGGGGGACCACGATAACAAGGAATGATGAGAAATTAGGACATAAAAAGAAGAAAAGAAAAAGAGGATAGGGGAGAAAAGAGACAAAGGAAATGAATGAGAAAGAATTAGAAAGTCTTTGAAGAGAAGTAAACGAGGAGGGTGTTGGATGGACACAAAATACAGAGTAGGCCAGGCGCAGTGGCTCATGCTTGTAATCTCAGCAATTTGGGAGGCTGAGGTGGGGGGATTGCTTGAGACCAGCCTGGGCAATATTGTGAGACCGCTACAAAAAAATAAAAATAAAAAATTAGCTGGGCATAGTGGTGCATGCCTGTAGTCCCAGCTATTCTGGAAGCTGAGGTGGGAGGACTGCTTGAGCCCAGGAGGTTGAGGCTGCAGTGAGCTATGATCACTGCACTTAACTCTAGCTTGGGTGACAGAGCAAGACCCTATCTCAATAAATAAATAAATAAATAAAATATAAAAATTGCACAATAAATCAATGAACTAGGGCAGAATAGAGGGCAAAAAAAATTGAAGAAACACAATGAAGCTGAATTTTTATCTGTGACAAAAAGCTATGCGGAAATAGAAATAAAAAGTTTCTGACCCATTTAACTTTTAAAAAAAGAAGGGTTAGGGCTAATGGAAACTTGGATCACTGTGGTATTTAAGCATAATTTCTAGAACAGAGTATTAATATCTTATTATTATCATCTTCTAACTCCCTCTCTGATTCCGTATATTGTGGAGTCTGAAGGAGCTCTGTATCCTTAAGAAGTCTTTCAAATCACCATTAGTAACATAAAAGCCTGTTGCAGGAAAATAAACAATATTTTAATTTCAGCTTTAATAGGTGGTTCTTCAGATTTTCCCAGTTAAGTGAAGCAACAGAGTAACCACACCATTTCTATGTGTTTATTTATATCCCTTGTCTGCATTGCTCAGCCAAAATGCCACTTCTTTATGAAAACTTTCCCAGATCTTTCCCTTTTAAAGGGAATTTATCCTTCTTCCTTCATAGCATTTAATCCCAATTATAATACTCTCTAGAATTTTTATAGCTATGGGTTTGTTATATTTCTTCTGTAACCATTCACATATATAAATATTTATATATAACCTACAATGGTAGAATCTGTACAAACTAACAAGTATTTATTAGTGAATAAACACATGAATTCCTAATTTATCCAAATGCAAGCCAGAGAGAATTTATTGACATCTGTTTTAAAAACTGCTGTTGTTTATGTAAAATCTAACTTACTGAAAGGCTTAGTACATTTTTTCCCTCTTTAGGAGATGCGTGGATGCTTGCTTGTGTGTGCACATGCATGCATGACTATTTTGAATAGGTTTATTTGACTTGTAAAGAGTGAGTAATTTCAAATTCAGGTCAAAATATTTCCATGATGCCAGCCTGGCTTTCTCAAGGGAGATATACTTCTACTGCTCAAAGTGAAAACTTAAAAATATCTGTGTCTCATGGGAAATGGTGCTTCCTTGAAGTAGCATACTTTTCTGCTTGCAGGTAATATGACAAAATGATTAAGATCTTAGGCTCTGGAGTAAGATGGAAGTCCAAATCTCCCACTCTGCCACTTTGGATTACCCAGTTTTGATAGTTTCCTGTTTGCAAAATGGAGGAAATATTCATGATTATTTTATAGGATTGTTCTGAGGATTAAATGAGATGTAAAGTACTAAGCAAAGTACACGGACCAGAGAAAACACCGTGTAAATATTAGGTATAGTAACATCTACAGAGCTGTATGTTCAAATGCCCCGTTTTTGGAAACTTCTTTCCACTCTAATATGCATGGTTACTTCCTTATTTGTTCAGTGTGTCCTTATCCTTTGGCCAAAGCTAATTGGCTAAAAAATGGACTTCACCCTAACCTAGGTCAATATAAGTTTCTTCTTTGGGAATGGGAATTTGACACCAAGAGAATAATTTTTTTCTCATTTTGAATTGTTAGCCCTATAATGTAGACATGGGAGCTATCATGCACATGGATTTTGCACATTACCTAGAGAAAATGAGAAAGCTAATCTTAAGCAGCAGAGAGAAGAAAAAAAAATGGCAGGTTATTGGGCCCTGGTTAAAGATGGTGGATTGACATATTAACCCCACTCTTTCCTGATACCCTCAAAAAACACTGTAAAGGAGTTAAAAGAAGGCATACATACATAGAGAAAAAGAAAATGAAACTTCTACTTCCAGAACAAGATGAAGGAGGTGCATTTTTTCTCATTCCTCCCACTAAGTACAGCTAAGTGCCTGGGACATTAGATATAAAACAAATTGAGAAGACTTTGAAAGGTGGAGTCAAGATAGACTGGCTAGGAATTTCAGAACTCTAGACAAGACACAGTGGTCAATTTCCTGGGTTTTCTTTTTGCCTAATATATGCTTATATTTCTGTGTGGTGAAAAAGCCAGCAACCTCGAAATGTGAATAATCACAGAGAAAAAGGAAAAATTAAGAAAAGCCTGTTTTTTTTTTCTAGGCAAAACCAAAAAGTAGGCAGTATACCGGTAAAGTTTTAGACAACAATTACTCTAGTGTAATCAAACATCATAGAGAAAAGTGTGACCCCTCCTATACCCCCAGCAATAAAGGCCTGGTGGAAAGCCTAGGATTCCTCCCTTGCCCAGTTGTGATGAGTTTCCCTCCCCAACTTGATGTGTTTCCCAGAAGGCCAAGGGGAGCTGACACTTTAATTCCCAACTGGGCATGTCAGTAGAGAATATTTGGGGAGCATGGACCTCCATTCCCATCCAGCAATAACCAACTGCTCCTCCTTCTCCCTGCCGTGGTGGTATTACTGAAGGCTGAGTGGGAAACTAGGACCTTTACCTGCTTCCAGAGGTGACAAGGCCACCCCATGGTGTCAGTGAAGGCCACATAGAAGGAAGTAGTAAGTGTCCCTCATTCTCCCAGCCAGGGTTATGTCAGCAGAGGCTTATTGAGAACCAGAACTACCACCTGCCCTCAGTGGCAACAAGGAGCCCTTCTCCCCCCTTCCCCAGGTATACATTAAGGCTGAGAGGGGAACTCAGACTTCCACATTTCTTTCTCTCTCTCTCTTTTTTTTTTTTTTTGAGACAGTGTCTCACTCTGTTACCCAGGCTGGAGTACAGTGGCACAGTTCCAGCTCACTGTAACCTCTACTACCCAAGCTCAAGTGATCCTCCCACCTCAGCCTCCTGAATATTTGGGCTACAGGTGTGCACCACTACACTGGCTAATTAAAAAATTTTTTTTTGTAGAGCTGAGGTCTCTCTATGTTGCCAGGCTGGTCACTCCTGGGCTCAAGTGATCCATCTTCTTTGGCCTCCCACAGTGCTGGGATTACAGGTGTGAGCCACCCTGCCGGGCCAAGACCTTCCACATTCTATCTCCACCTGGCAGTAATATGGTGTAAGGCCTAAAATTAAGGTCAAGTATTAAGTGTTGTCTTAACATTTGTTGAAACCAGAAGGGCCTCAACTGGCCTAACCACATGTTCCCCTCCCCCTGATGCTGCAGATAAGGCCCTCTAGCCCAACAATCTCCCCATCAAGAGGATCAGGTGAAGTTCCTGCTTATCCCTGAGTAGTGGGTTTCAATTCCAGCCCTTGGAATTATTCAAACAAGTCAATCATATCCTCTCACAGGAACCAGGGGGCATCCCACTCTCTTGATACTACCAAGTTTTCCTTCTACAGTACCTGGTTGTTCATTCTGTCTTTGAGTGTGTGACCTGGTATGGTGTAGTATGTTGAGTCCTCCTTCACAGGCTGTGAGTACCTGTGACTAATAAATTGCTATCAATTTCATCTGTCTAGTATTGGGTATCATGTGTTCAGCCATCTCTATGGCTCTAGGCAGGAATCTTTCCCTTACCAATAAGGTGAATAGGAGGTCATTAAAACAGGAACAAAACAGCATCATCCTACCCAAACTGGAGCAATGTAAAAAAAAGAAAAACAACAACAACAACAGTAACAGCTAAAGTTTAAAAGAGATCCCAAGTCTTATAATGTAACACACAAATGTTCAGGTTTCAATAAAAAGCAAGGCATCATTCCAAAAACCAGGAAGATCAAAAATGGAATGAAAAAGACAACCGGTAAATTCCAACACTGTCATGACACAGATGTTAGAATTATCTGATAGGATTTTGAAGCAGCCATCATAAAAATGCTCCAGCAAACAATTGTAAATACACTTGAAACAAATTAAAAAAACAGAAAATCTCAGTGAAGAAATAAAATATGTAAAGAGGGAACAAATGGACATTCTAGAACTGAAAAAAATACAATAAACAAAATGAAAACTCAGTGAATGAGTTTCACAACAGAATGGAGATAACAGATAAAAAAAATCAGTGAATTTGAAAGAACAATAAAAATTACCCAATCTGGAACAGGGAAAAAATATGCTTAAAAAAAAAAAAGGGAAACAGACTCGCAGGGAACTGAACCTCACACCTCATACAAAAATTAACACACAGTGGACTATCTATTTAAATGTAAAATGTAAAACTCTCAAACTTTTAGAAGAAAGCATGTGAGAAAATATTCAGGACTTAAGACTTGGTGAAGTTCTTAGACTTGACAGCAAAAACATGACACACAGATGCAAAAAAATTGGTAAATTAGATTTTCCCAAAATTAAAATCTTTCTCTGCAAAAGACCCTGTTAAGTGGATGAAAACAAGGTGTGGATTGGGAGAATGGAATATATATATTACATGTTACATATCTAGGTATCAAACTGATATCTAGAATATATAAAGAATTCTTAGAAGTTTATAATAAAACAATGACAACAACAAATAAAATTCAATTAGAACATGGAAAAGAGACATGAACAGACATTTCACTGGAGGATGTATAAATAATAAGCACAGGAAAAGATGTTTAACATCACTAGCTATGAAGCAAATGCAAATTAAGACTAATGAGATATCATTATACATGTTAATATGGTTAACATAAAAAATAGTGGCAATGCCAAATGCTGTAAGAATTTAGGGAAACTAGATCTTCCATACATTGCTGCTGAGAATGTAAAATGATACAGCCACTCTGGAAAATAGTTTGGCCGTTTCTTATAAAATTAAACATTCAACTACCATATGACTCAATAAAAACACTTGTAACTGAACTCAGGTCTGGCCATTCATCACTTGAAAGCCAAAACTCAAGAGACAAGCTTTGGTGAAAAGGAAAGTTAGCTTTTATTTTGGAAGCTGGTAACCTGAGGGAGGCAGTGAACTCATGTTCAAAGACCGCTTCTCTGATTTGTGTCTCTGCATCAGGGGTTTTTAAGAGAAAACTGGGGGAAGTGCAAATGATGATCAAAGCATTCTAGTAAAATGTGCACTGTCTCAGGCAGGTAGTTAATTATGGCTTTTTAGGTCAATGTCTGGTAACCTTCTGCAGGCACCTCAGGCTATTCTTATCAGGCCAGCCAGCCCATTTCCAGAGTTGTTGGTCAGTATATTTTCTTTTATCTTTGTTGAAGGTCTAGTTTTCCTAAGGCTGTTTTTAATGAATAATCTATAAACTCTAGCAAAGCAGTAATTATTTCAAGCAAATGAGCTTTTCTCTAACATGGAGTCAGTACTGTTACACCCTTGTAGGCATTTATCACAGAGAAATAAAAATTTGTGTTACAAAAACCTATACAAGAATGGTTACAGCAGCTTAATTTGTAATCATCCTAAACTAGAAAAAAACCAAAATGTCCTTCAATAAATATGTGGTTAATCAAACTGTAGCACACTCATAGCATAGAATAATTTTTTTCTTTGTCTTTAGGCTATTCATGGGAAAACTGACGATTAAAGATGAGATATGAGATAGTTTGTTCTCTATCTCTCATTACAAAAAACTTTTAAGTTTTCTAACTTAAAATTTCACATTAAGTAGAAAAAGTTAATTTTACATTACAAGAAGACTTGGTGTTAAGGAATCTGCAGTCAAAATGTATAAAATTCTCATCAATTAAAATACATTATTGTGATCCAGGTCTACTAAACACTGTGAATAACTAGAAAAATGATTTCCAGCCCTCCTTTTAGTCTTCCAGTAGTTAAAATGCACATCAAAATTTAAAACAATGTCCAAAATCACACAATAAATAAGTGGAAGAATGGGAATTGTGTCCCTATTTATCTTGTTCCAGAGCCAAGATCTTAACTGCATTGTGCATAGAAAGCCTGCAACTTGAGACCTAAACCACTCCAGAAAAGATTTTCCATTGGTCCATTGTCATTTTGGGTAAAACAAAGCAGCTACATCTTGTCTTCCCTTAATTTTCTCTAGAGCAGAATAAAAACAGCAACAACACTGCTCTATTTTATTCATGAGCCCTGCCTATATCTTACTCTTTGAAAGGTCATGGTAACTCTGTTTTATCAAATATAATAGAATGTTAAATACAACTCTTCCTGCTATCTCAGAGATTACTTATAAGCCTCCAAAACCAAAAAGAAGTACCACTAAGGCATAGAGCAAGGAAGAGGTGGATCACAAATATGGTACAATACATACTGAGCGATTGTGAAGGCTGTTCTGCCAACCTCCACTTTTTGGCCACATCCAGGTTACATGAGAGAGGTTGAAGAGGCTATTGTCTTTTCCAAATGAAGCATACAGAGGTTGATGTGGTATTCCATGTTTGGAGGTCCTAGAGATTGAGGCTATGTGTGAATTTTGTCAGGAAATATCCCAGGCAGAGCATCACTTGAGATGCCTGCCTGGTGACAGAGAAAGGTCTGCACAGAAAGTGAGATGTAATTTGTGGTGTGGAAAAGGACCTATCTCTTGAGTATTACATGTTGACCCAGCAGACATGTGGGTTAATATTTAAAGGGACTCCACAAAGAGGACATCTGGAGTGGTGAAAAGACTCCAAGAGAGGGAGGAACTATTGGAAAATAGAAAGCAGACATGGGTCCTAAGTGGACAATGGAAAAAACTCTATCACCATCTGGGAAGTTGGTGGGTCTGAGGAATCCTCAAGAGCAGCTGGCAGAGAGGAAAAACTTTTCCTCTACTCTGTCATATTCAGTATCTGGGGGTCTGTGACTTAAACTAACAAAAGACAGATTAATAGGAGAAAAGGCATACAATTTTTATTAATGTTTACATTCATGGGAGTTCACAGGGGGAAAAAGTGAAACTCAAGGAGTATTTAGACTCAGGGGCTTAGTTAGATGGTAATGTTAACAAAAGAAAGGGAGTTTGAATTTTGAGGGATGATAAATTGCAGATAAGTGACTTGGAAACATGAGAAAACTAATGGAAGATAACAGTTATTTTCATAGGGTATTTTTATGCAAACTTATCTCCTTGTTGACTCTGTCTTCAGTGATAATAGTTGCTCTCCTCTTTCTGGTATGAGGAAGGGGTTGTGGGGGACACATCTTTGCAAAAATAAATTTATGTCCTGCTTTTGGGCAGATAAGGGGAGGGCAACAAACTGTTCTGCATCTTGATTCTTAATAATCCTCAGCTCAAAATACTCTTTTTGCCAAAGTGGCATATTTTGGAGTGGCATATCCTGATCCCCTTCACAGCTCTCCCTATTTCAGACTTCTGAGCCTGAAGCAGTCTGGAGCAGGTGAATTGAGCTTGGAGTAATGAGCCATTGGACAGGAATTCTGTTATTTATTATCTGATAGTGACTGAAAAAGCTAGGGGATTCATTGCAATTTCATTTTGGAGGATTGAACAGAGCTCTTTAGTGGAATGAGTTTAATGGAGAGTGAGGGTATATTAGTCAGGGTTCTCTATGGGGACAGAAGTAACAGGATAGATGTATATATAAAGGGGAGTTTATTAAGGAGTATTGACTCACATGATCACAAAGGTGAGGTCCCACAATAGACCGTCTGCAAGCTGAGGAGCAAGGAAGCCAGTCCGAGTCTGAAACCTGAAGAACTTGGAGTCTGAAGTTCAAGGGCAGGAAGCATCCAGCATCGGGGAAAGATGTAGGCCAGAAGACTAAACCAGTCTAGTCTTTCACATTCTTCTGCTAGCTTTTATTCTGACCACACTGGCAGCTGATTAGATGGTTCCCACCCAGATTGAGGGTGGGTCTGCCTTTCCTAGTCTACTGACTCAAATGTTAATCTCCTTTGGCAACACACTCACAGACACACCCAGGAACAATACTTTGCATCCTTCAGTCTAATCAAGTGGACACTCAGTATTAACCATCACAGAGGGAAAACATAAAGTTGCTTTCTCCATGCTTCTGACGAATTAAAACCATTTGGGATGGGGAAATTCAATGGAGACAGATACTATGGAATGATGAAAACAGCCTGCATGCTAGTTGTCAAGATTAGCCCCCTCCTAGTCACCTAATAGAAGAGTGTGAAAGAGGAATATTCCAACACAATATGTAGAGTTAAGTGAGATGATAAAGATATGATGAAAAATTTCTTATTGCAAAGCTGATTTAGGAGTTAAAAAGAAATTAGGCAGATAATGAGAGTATGGAAATCCTTGGTTAGGTTTTCTTTTCATGAAAAACAGCTCCCAGATCGTTTTCTTTTCTAACTAAAAGCAGCCTGTAAAACTGGGCTGCAGACATAAACAAGCAAGCTAGAAGCTGGCACAGGTGAATGCTGGCAGTTGTGCCTATAGGAGAAAATGCTACCTGGGACCAGACATGATCAAAATGGTGGCTCCATCTGCTCTTTGTCAGCCATGTGTACAGTAAGGAGCAGACAAGATGGCGCTGGCTGAGTGGAAAGCCCATTTACATAATAAGATTAGGGTGGGGTGACCAGCCTTCTCTGTGCTACGTAAACATCATATCTGGTTGAACCAATCTGTGGGTCCTGGTAAATCAGACACTGCCTCCTCAAGCCTACCTATAAAATTGGCTGCAGTCTGCTGCTTTTCCCCTTTTGGATGTCTCTATCACAAGAGAGAGACAGCTGCTCTTCTCTCTCTTTTCTTCTGCCTATTAAAATTTTCACTCCTTAACCCAATCCATGTGTGTGTGTCTGTGTCATTAGACTTCTCAGTGGGAGATCATGAACCCCAGGTATTGGGGGAACCAGCCCCCAGTGTTTCAACGTAGGTTCTTTTATATTTTCCCTAAGTGTCGGCCAGTCTGAGAAATAAACAGAAAGAGTACAAAAGAGAGAAATTTTACAGCTTGGTCTTGGGGGTGACATCACATGTTGGCAGGTTCCGTGATGCCCCCAAGCCGCAAAACCAGCAAGTTTTTATTAACGATTTTCAAAGGGGAGGGAGTGTACGAATAGGGTATGGGTCACAGAGATCACATGCTTCAAAAGGCAATAAAATATCACAAGGCATATGGGGGCAGAGCAAGATCACAAGGCCAGGGTGAAATTAGAATTGCTGATGAGGTTTCATGTCCCACTGTGCATGCATTGTCATTGATAAACATCTTAATAGGAAACAGGGTTTGAGAGCAGACAATCGGTTTGAGTAGAATTTGCCAGGCTGGAATTTCCTAATCCTAGCAAGCCTGAGGGTGCTGCAGGAGACCAGGGTGTATTTTATCCCTTATCTTCAACTGCATAAGACAGACACTCCCAGAGCAGCCATTTTAGAGGCTTCCCCCTGGGAATGCATTCTTTTCCCAGGGCTGTTCCTTGCTGAGAAAAAGAATTCAGCGATATTTCTCCTATTTGCTTTTGCAAGGAGAGAAATATGACTCTGTTCTGCCCGGCCCCACAGGCAGTCAGACCTTATGATTATCTCGCTTGCTCCCTGAAAATCACTGTTATCCTGTTCTTTTAGGATGCCCAGATTTCATATTGTTCAAACACACATGTTTCACAAACAATTGGTAAAGATAACGCAATCATCACAGGGTACTGAGGTGACACACATCCTCAGTTTACAAAGATGACGAGATTAAGAGATTAAAATAAAGACAGGCATAGGAAATTATAAGAGTATTGATTGGGGAAGTGATAAATGTCCATGAAATCTTCACAATCTATGTTCAGAGATGGCAGTAAAGACAGGCGTAAGTAATTATAAAAGTATTAATTTGGGGAACTAATAAATGTCCATGAAATCTTCACAATTTATGTTCTTCTGCTGTGGCTTCAGCCGGTCCCTCCGTTCAGGGTCCCTGACTTCCTGCAACACCCAGGTATTTAGCCCAGACAATGACGTCGCTTCATTGGGAGTGTAAGAGATCATAATGTGACTTTATGTTAAAATGACACTATGTATAGATAAGATAATTACAGTAAGATGTAAATTATATGGGATTAATTTAGACTCTGGATAGAAGATGAGAACCATGTGTCTACCTAGATAAAGGCATAAAGAGATCATGGTGCAGATGAGTTGGTAGAGGGAATCCTTTGGGAATTTTGGGAGCAGCAGAACAGTATATACTTCCAGACTCATTCAGAGCTAGCATGTAACCTCAACCCAAGTGAAAAAGACGACTTTTTTTTGGCCAAAGAAACTTGAAACTGGGCACAGTGGCTCATGCCTGTAATCCCAGCACTTTGGGAGGCCAAGGTGGGCAGATCACCTGACGTCAGGAGTTCAAGATCAGCCTGGCCAACATAGCGAAACCCTATCTCTACTTAAAAAAAAAAACTACAAAAGATCTAGCCAGGCATGGTGGCACACGCCTGTAGTCCCAGCTGTTTGGGAGGCTGAGGCACAAGGATTGCTTGAACCCAGGAGGCAGAGGTTGCAGTGAGCCAAGATGGTGCCACTGTACTCCAGCCTGGGTGACAGAGCAAGACTTTGTCTCAAAAAAAAAAAAAAAAAGAAACTTGAGAACTTATTTTGAACCAGATATACATGTAGGTTGAAATACAGAAGAAAACGCCAAATTTTAACTTATAAAGAGAATGAATAAACAAATCTGTTAACAAGGTGGCCTTGACTGGGCTGACACAATTATAGTAAACAGATGCATAACTGCTGTTGCCACATGGGTGTTAACACCCATCTGCTTATCCCCATACCTAAAGGTGATTTGAAATTGAGACTGATGGTATCACACACACACCAAGAAAATGTGAAAAGATTCATTATTCATGTATGAGGCTTTCTGGGAAGACAAGGGCTGGTCTGAAATGGCTTTGGTTTTTGCTGTGATTAAGGGGTGGGGGCAGGTTTTTGTGGTTTGAACTTCCCCCTGAGCTAAAACAGGGAGATGGAGCTTTCTCATTAGTTTTCCTAGAAGTGGGACAAGTCAGAAGGGGAGAGAGCTAGGACTTGAAAACTTTCAGCAGCAAAACATCAAAAATGGAATGAGACTCTAATGATAACATCCATCTCCTCACTTTCATACTTTTAAAGTTAAGAAAGTTTGCATTCGGCCTCGCATGGTGGCTCACGCCTGTAATTCCAGCACTTTAGGAGGCCAAGGCAGGCGGATCACAAGGTCAAGAGATCAAGACCATTCTAGCCAACATGGTGAAACCCCGTCTCTACTAAAAATACAAAAATTAGCTGGGCGTGGTGGTACGCACCTGTAGTCCCAGCTACTCTGGAGGCTGAGGCAGGAGAATCACTTGAGCCCAGGAGGCGGAGGTTGCAGTGAGCTGAGATTGTGCCACTGCACTCCGGCTTGGTGAAAGAGCGAGACTCTTTCTCAAAAAAAAAAAAAAAAAAAGTTTGCATTCAAGGTAATGGATCTGAGAGTGTACTTTGAAGAAATGAAAGTTTATAACGTAAAATTATAACCCCTGGAGAGAACCTGGAGCTCTCAGGTGGTCGTAATTAAGGTAGAGGGCTTGGTGTTTTAGAATGAAGAGACAAAATTTGAATATCAAGGTTTTTTCCTATATTAAAATAATTTTTATACACTTATCTCTTAATTTTACTACTTCATTATTTTACAAATCTTTCTTATTATTTAAATCGAAGGTACCTTCCACTAGAGTACAAATTTCTATGACTTGAGGCCAGAGGACTTACTAATTACTCGCTGCAGATTTTCTTGTAGTATTTATGACCCACATAGTTGAATGTCTCACACGAAGTGCTTTTGCCAAAAATTCAAGGACAAAGGAAGTTGGAACTTTAAATTTATAAAGGTCTCATTTGTAATTTAAATCTGCCACTAAGTGGAAGAAATAATGTGATTAGAAATAGGTGATGGGAAACTAGAAAAAACAAATGATAACTGAACATTTTAAAGGAAGATTAGTTCTATTTTCTGGCTGGCTTTTAAAAAAGGATGTAAATGGAATTTTAGGTAACTAGCATAGGATGTTTTATGGTAGGTGAAAGAAACTATAGCTTGCAGGCCAAATCCAACCCACTGTCTGCTTTTGTATGCCTCACAAGCTAATAATGGCATTGACATATTCAAATGATTACATTTTATGTAGTTATCTAAGTATCTGTATAATAGTCTCAATTTTACTTCTTGTCCTGCGGAGCCTAAAATATTTACTATCTTGCCCTCTACTGAAGTAAAATTTGCTGACCTCAGTTTAAGGGCTAGAATTTTGAGAAATAAGAAAAACGGTCAGAATTGAAGGAACAAAATAATGAGGGAGAAAATCTGCTTCAAGGTAGTATATATGTGTTTAGGACCTTTCCTTGTAACATGTGAAATATTATAATCTTAGTATTATCTCTTACAGAATTGCAGTAGGCCATGTGGAGAATCCCACAGTTGTTTTTTAACTGTGTGGCCAGGATCCAGTGAGGTCTTATAATATGGTACTGTTGTTCATACTTGATTGTTTCTATAGAAACAGGTCTTCATAAGGAAGACTTCAAAGAAGCAAGGACCTCAGTCAAGTTATGGAGGAAGAAGACTTCACCAAAGGCAAGTGAACCACATGAACGGCCTGAGCCAAATAATACATTATTAGCATAGATGCATTTAGCATAAACCCTGTGGCAGCTTAGCCAACTGACCTTAGTCCATATGTGCTGGTCAGGAGGGGATAAAAAAGTATGCTGATGGGCCCCAGTGGGTTTTTTTTGATGGGAAAGCTGAGGTGAGGATGTGACTATCTCAGACAAAGAAATGTTCGCTGCTTACCAAATGAAACATAACTGAGTTTTGCATGTGCCAGACAGCATAGTAAAGGGCTGGTGCCAATCTTGGGTAGGCAGCATTAGATCTGCTGCCCCAAATTCCAGTCTGAGGTCAGCACCAAGGAGGAATTTGTGGAGGAGCCTACTTCAGACTCATGTCCTCATTCACAGGCTCAAAATATCCCTCCTGGTAGCTGGTTCCAATAGGCTCTACTTGGAGAACATTTCCATGAGACAGGTTTTAGATATAAGCAGTTCTTTAGCAAGTTGCAATTATTTAGCAGTGCAGAAACGGTCAATATGGCATTAGGACAAACATACCTACTCACATGAAAATCTAGTAGCTTTAAAACTAAATAGTACACCATTTAATTCAATACTGTGGCGCCAAAGGAAATAAAAATTAAGAGATTCGGATGGATGTAAAAGAAAGGTTCCCCAAATAAAACTAGTGACTACAGTTGCAAATTACTAAACTTTGCAAGAAGGGAACAATTTCTCAAATGCCATTCTCTGCAAAAAGCAAATAGAGTGAACTGGAGGTTTTTCTTCAGACATGATACATTTATCATGCAAAACATAATTTCTTTCTGAGAGATTTTTTTCAAAATCTTTTCATGTTTGCAGGTCACAGGTTCTGAAGAACTGGCACCAGACTATTTTCTCTGTCTTCCCGCAGTTGAAACTACTGAGTCTGTGGTTACTCCAGGTGTTACATTTGGGGAATACTATCTAGTTTGGGATAACAATTTAGGTCCAAAGAATAATGGTTTGTTTTCTAAATTTCATGCACATGGGTCACTGCTGTGACAGTCTTTCCTTTCCTATTAACTTTTTTTCTGTAACAGTGAGTTTCTTAACGGATGTGACATGGAATTGATGTAACTTCAGAGACCTTTTCCAATCAGGGACAGTACCGGTTGCAGCTCCTCAAAGAACTCCACCAACACATTAAGATATATTAGAGACAGCAGAATTGAAATTTGAGGAAGAAGAAATTGGAACATAGTTCCTTTGAACTTTATCTCACAAGGTCAAGAAAATTTGATTTCTAACTTTAACCCCTTTGGTTTTTTAATGTCTGTGGACTTTAGCTTGCAAATGAATTTATTTTTGAAGTTTAAATTCTTCCTGTGAATTTTAAAGTGAAAATAGTTTACTTGCAAATTTGAAGCATCTCTGTAATGCTAAAATTTTATTTTTAGAGTGATTTAATGTCATTTGATTTCATTGCGTAACCTTGAATAGATTATGTTGGATAATACTGCTGTACATAATTTGAGGTGAGATTTCCATCTCTCACCTCAGACTGCAGAGTAAACTTTTGGTCTTAGGTGCAGAGTGGCTTAAAAGTTGATTAAATTAGTTTTTTATATCCATTTCAGAGGCTTCTGGGAAAAATCTGTGCAGCCCACTACAGTCCTAGAAAAGTACCCAAAAGGATAGTGGTTGGTATTAGGTACAGCAGACCTGTTTGGATTTATTGCTATTCTCATCCCCCAGGGATAAGTCACAGGCTTTGTATACTATACACTTAATGGTTGAGTTCAGAAGATTTAGAAAGAGAAACTGGGAGATGGGAGTGGGTTGGGGGAAATGCTTCTTTCTGACTTCCTTCCAAAGAAAGTCAATTCTATTAGATCATGGACACCATCCATGCCCTTACTAGCTCATGGACTCCATCCATCAACTTACTCATTGCATGTAGAGACCTGAAGTAACATATGTGGTTGTGGATTTTGGGAGGAGAAGTAGGGCAAGTGTAGCCCAGACTCTTCCTCCTTTCTTTGGGTGTGAGACTGCCTTCTGACTGCAACCACTGGTACTACTTCATTTATGCCCAACGTTTTCCAGGTCCTTCAGTGAAGAGATTTTTCTGGGCTTGAGAATCAAAGTTCATCTAATTCTGGGATATAAGTCATATTCTCCAACATCAGTCTTATAAAAAATAAAGGTGACATGCATGTTGGGTTCTTTAATAAATGATTATTTTACTTTGTACCTTAATTTGTTCAGCACTTTGTTGGGAAATGGATCATGTTTCTTCCAAAAAGGGTAGTTTCTTTGGCATAATTTATTATCTTTGGATAATAAATGGATCCTTTCAAAGATCCCAAAACTCACTATGCCAGAACTGCTTATAATATACACTTCCTGCCTCTACTTTGTCTTACCCTGGTTTATTTCCTTAAATGCGAATGCATCATATGGTGAACTTGATCAATATGCAATATTTGACTGTTTCTACATGGACAAATTTACCACATATTTTAATTGTACTGTACCTTGTAAACAATATTCTGATTGTTGGTTGTCACAAAAAATGTAAGGGCCCTAAATCCTCTGCTGTGTTCTCTGCATCTTGTTCTTAACCTTACCTCCTAATGCTGCCCTCACTCTTGAAATTTCTCACTCTTTGAAATGCCTAAGGCAAGAAAAAAAATTCTCTAGATTCTCTTAGTCATAAAATGCTACAGGCACATTAAAGATGCTCAGCATCATTGCTAATCAAATAAATAAAAATGGAAATAAATATTACAGTATGGCTATTAGGCAAGCAAAATTTAAAAACCTGGTTAGTGCCAAATATTAGTAGGGATATGCAGACATAGAAATTCTCTTGTACTGCAGGAGATAGTGTAGGAGTGTAGGGCCACACTCCAGAGAGCAATCTAGTAATAGGTAATGAGAGTAAATACTGTATACACACACACTTTGATTCAAAAATATTCTTTTTGCATATAAACCCAAGAAAATTCCCATACAGTTCCATAAGGAAACATGTATAAAAACATTTATTACTTTTGGTGGTAGAAAGTTAAAGGGTACCTGGTTATCTGCAGAAGCAAGAAACAAGTAGCTTTCCAGAAACAAGAGAAAGTTTGGAAGACTAATTCTTGTTTTCATCAAAGGAGTAAAATGAGCACAATTTGCTGGCCCCTTCCCATGTAAAACCCTGAAAGTTCTGGGAAAAATAGAAGAAGGCAGACCAACACAGAATCACACAAAAAACTGGTACAAAACTGTAGATATCCCAAACAGTAACATTTAATAAACTGTAGGAAATAAAAAGAAGCTCACAGTAAAAAAAATCATGAGATGTCTAGACATACTATTAGGAAAATAAAGCAAAGATAATAAATTATGCCAAAGAAACACTCTTATTGGAAGAAACATGATGAAAGAGACTAAAACAATAATATGTCATTGGAAAAATTAGGGCACCATTAAAAATAAAAAATAGTTATGAAGAAATGGAAATATTGGACATGAAAAATATACTTGCCAAAATAAAGACATTGATTTAGAGGGAAGATAATATTTGAAGAATAATGCTAAAACATTTTTCAGAGCTAAAGAAAGACATAAGATATAAGAGTGTGTAGCCAAACATATAAGAACAATTTATAATTGGGCACATCAAAAATTACAAGAGCATCTTAAAATTTCCAATAGAGAAAAAGCAAATAATTTTCACAGAAATGAAAATTATACATTTATTCAACAATGATTTATAGAATGTTTGTTATAGGCTAGGAATTTTCTAGATTCTTATGATAATTTCAAATAAACTAAGATCCCTGTCCTTGTGGAATTTACATTGAGGTAAGGGAGATGAAGAGACTATAAATAATAAACATAATAACAGGAGAAATTAAAACAGAGTAAGGGGATTAGAAGTACCATGGAGAGGAGCTTGGGTGATGAGAAGATTGGTTTTAAAATATACTCATCACAAGAGTCATCCATCTCTTCTAGCCATTATCCCTTTATGGGTAACCATTATGCTAACTTACAGCAGCATACATTTTTTCCAGTTTGTGTAATCATTTATATTTAATGATTATATGCATACTTAACTTGTCAGTTTGACATGTCTGGTGGGTTATTTTAGGTTTACTGACTGGCAATTCCAGTTGCTGCTGCTGTTCCAGATGTTATCTTACTACAGGTGTGGATAACACAGAACTTAGTACTTGATATGCAGAAATTAGAATGTTATTTTTCTCCCTACCAATAAACTGAGAATTCCAGGGCAACATGCTTTCACCAAGCAGGGACAGCAATATTCTTTCACTATATTGATTCAGTTCTACATTACTTCTCTGGCTCTACGCCACAATTCAGTCATGAGAAAACATGATCACCTTTCTGTTCAACAGGGCACCATTCTGCTTCACTACTTGGATAAAATCATGCTTATAGGACTTAATTTATAAGAAGTAGCAGATACCTAGATGCTTGTTAAAGTACATACACATGGAAGAGGATGAAAGAAGGACCCCCCCAAAATTCAGAAGCCTACATTTTCAGTGATATTTCTAGAGGTTGCCAGTCTGAGGATGTTAGCATATCACATAAAAGTTTTCTGCACTTGCGTCACCTACCAAAATGAAAGGAGCGTGTTGTTAGGTAAGATGTTTTGAACCTTGAAGGTAATATGTACAACACTTACTTTGCTTCCCTAATCTGTAATGCTGTTAGTTTTGAATATCCAAGAGCAATAGAAGATCAAAACTGGTTCAGGCAGGAATACAAGCATTTCAGTCTCTTGGCTTTGATGAGATGGCACATCCGGTCACACTCAAAGTATCTGTGGCTTATTGGGATGCCATTTGGAACTTCTATCAAACTTATATAGGAAAGTCACCGGACAGTTTTTTTAAGGGTTTAAAGCAAAGCCATGACCTCTTTGGAAATTGCTATTTTGCTTTTGTAAATCAGATTTGGCTTGCTTTGAATACCTGATAGAGAACACCAAAGAATTACCTGAAATGATCTGAGTTGTATATTAGCCTATCAAAGACGTTGATGTCTATGGAAAAAATGCTTTGCAAAGTTAAAATCTCATTTTCTAAAATTATGGTATGTCTTCTGAAACTAAGACAAAATACTTATTCTTCTAAGACCATAAGAGCTAGGTCTGAGAACTAAGGAGTAGAAATGGGAGTGGTACCTTTACTATTACACCTAATTACTCACTTGAAAAATATTTGCTCCTCACTCTTTTGCCTTAGAGGTCTTAGTTCCCAAGGGAAAAATGCTTCCACCAGAGAAAACAACAGAGATTCCACTGAGCTAGGAAGTTGAGACTGCCACTTGTTTGTCTTGACCTCCTCTTGTACTAAGTCACATAAAAAGTAAAGATACTCTAATCAATGGGGTGATTTTGTAACCGCCTTTGCAAAATTATGACAGTAAAACAAATCTGACATAGTTGACTCCATCTTGCTTCTGTCCTCTAAGCTGCCCTTGGTCATTTCTGGGCATAGGCCAACCTAACTTTGGGAGGAATTTAATTTAGAGTTTAACTTAAAAGCAAAGATGATAATAGTCCCTCCCTAAAACCTGCTCAGGAATCTACAACTGCCTTTGTAAGAGTAACGAAAGGCCACAAGAATAGGATGATAGGAGGGCCCTGAACTCTGCTGAAATGTAGGCATGGCTTCTATAATCCCTTACTGCTCAGGTATCATGTGGCTGGAGGTCACAAGATTTGTGACCTCCTCAATTTCTCCTATAGATAACATCACTATAGTAGAACCTAAAATTGATCTTTTGAGATTCTTTTTCAATTTTTTTTGGAAACTGACCGACTCCATCTGGACCTGTGATTCATAACTCAGCCATCCTGTGGCTCCACCCAGAGACAGACTTGGTACACAAGGACTGTTTTCTAAACCCCTATGATTTCAGCCCCAACCAATGAGAAGTACCCATTCCCTAGCTCCCTGCCCACCAAATTGTCCGTAAAAACTCTAATTTTTGAACCTTTGGGGAGACTGATTTGAGTAATAACTCTGTCTCCCACGTGGCTGGCCTCATGTCAATTAAACTCTTTCTATACTGCAATGCTGTGGTTTCAGTAAATTAATTTTGTTGGGGGAAGAAGGCAGGAAAAACCCACTGGGTAATGATAACTAATCCTGATTACCAAGGGGACACAGGATAGCTACTACACAAAGAAGCATGGAAGTGTATGTCTAAGATCCAGGAAATCCTCCCAGAACCTACAAATATTGAAGAGGTAAAATTTAATTAAAGGTGCAGCAACCACACGGGAGGAGGACATTTAGGATTCAGATACCTCAGGAATGAAGGTTAGAATCACATGTCAGGTAACAAAACTTGATCAGCTGGAGTGCTGACTGAGGTCAAAGGAAACATCAAATAGGTAGCAGAATAATGAAGTTAGAAATACTAATTGCATCATAAATACTAATTACAGTCTGTGTCCAGCTGCAAAGACCAAGACTAAATAAGATATCTGTATTTTCTCCTTGATTTACTATGCATTTATGAGTATTAATCAGTTTCCCTTTTTTCTTATATTTCCCCACATTTTGTATGTGTGTTGGTGGTAGGTAAGTTTATTATTTAGTGAATCACTCCAAATATTTCAAGACAAAATTGTGACCGAGATAAAGGAAAAAAGAACAGCTCTCAAAAAATAATATAACGACTGATTTTACCCAGAGAAGAGGAAGACAGTTACATTTTTTTGCTACATATGCATTATGTTATGTAGGAGCAATTAGTGTTTATTCCATTCCTTATTTTCTCATTTGTTAATTTTTAATTGACCATCTACTATAGGCCAGGTACAGTTCTAAGTACTGGAAGTATCACAATTAACAAGTATAAGCATTGCACTCAAGGGTCTACATCTTAGTGGGGAGAGAAGACAATAAATACCATAAATAGAGAAAACGCATAGAGTGCTAGCATGATGTTAAGTGCTATAAAAAGTAGAAAAGGATTGGGAGATTCTTAGTGAGGGAAGTTGAGGGGGATACAATTTAGGTAAATTGAGCAGGAAAGGCCTCACTGATTTGGTGACATTTGAAGTAACATATCCTGAAGGACATGAGGTAAGGAGCCTTTTGAATAGCAGGAGAAGACATTCCAGGTGGGGAGTGGGCAGTAAGGCCCTGAGGTGGGAGCGTGCTTGACATATTGAACAACTAGAAGACAAGAATGGCTAGAAAAAAATGGTGTGTGTGTGTGTGTGTGTGTGTGTGTGTGAAATGTAAGGGAATTAATTCAGAGAATTATAAGGAAGCCAGATTGCCACTTGTTAGTCATTCTGATGACACTGGATTTAAACTGGAAGAAGAAAAAAAAATTTAAGAAGATAATTCATTGCTAATGTCAAAAGTTAATAATGGAAAGAATGATATATATTGATGTAGCCAGAGGTAAGAATCATGGTAAATAACAGAGTAACTCACTCAACATCTTTCCAATTCCATTCCATTGAGCTTTTTGTATGTTAAAGTTTGAAATTCATACTTTCCCACTAATATTTTCTTATAGCTCTCTTTTGAGGAGTGGTTTGATTTCTGCCAATCACATGCATTTGTGTAAGGTTTGAATCTGTACTGTTTTATTTAGGGAGATGGTGTCACCTTAGATGTCTGTTGCAGATTCAGCAGATGCTATATAGCTCTGGCGACATCAGCTATGGCAATGGCTTCCTGGTCCCCAGATTGAAGGTAAGGCAGCATTCAACATAAGCCAACAGTTCTGTTGGTACCTTCTGGTAAGACTTTATCTTAGGTAAGACTATGTCTTCCATCAGAAAGCAGTCCTAGCTGTGGAGTCTCGATCTCCAGATCACAGCTAAGGTAGTGTGTTTGGGAAAGCAATAGTTGGAAATAATGGCTTCCCATTTCCTCAGCGACCCTACTGTCTTTAGTTCATTTTCTGTTGTTGTTACAGAATACCAGAGACTGGGTAATTTATAAAGAAAAGTCATTTATTTCTCACAGTTTCAGAGGCTGGGAAATCCAAGAGCATGATACCAGCATCTGTCAAGGGTGTTCATTCTGCACTGTAACATGTCGGAATGGCAAATGGGCGTGCAAGACAAAGAGGAAATTGGATTTAACTCATTCTTTTTATCAGGAAGCAACTCCTGTGATAACCAACCCTCCACTCCCATGGTAATGACATTAATCCATTTATGAAACCAGAGCCCTTATGGCCTAATTACCTCTTAAAGGCCTTACCTCTTAATACTGTTACAATAACAATTGAATTTTAATATAAGTTTTGGAGGGGACATGCAAACCATGGCAACTACTGTTCTTGGAGGGCAGTCCCTTGATAGACCAGTTCTGTGATGTGGTTCTAGTTATTCCTGGAAACTTATCCTAGAATCAACTCTGCCAGCTGTTAAAAGGATTTTGGAAGCACTGAATTCCTTTTGGCTTTTTTCACAAGAGGCTCTCTATTGCTTGAAATTGAACCGATGGAAGTTGAAGGTTTCTTTCACTCTTGGAGATACCAGTATGATATGTTATTTGAATCTGTACTCTTTGACCAACCCAAAGACCTTAAATAAAAAACAAAATAGAAACCTCCAAAGAGATGGAGGAGGGCACACTATAATTTGAATACATGGTATAACATGATAATACAAAACCTCAAAGGTAGTGAGAAAAAATAAATTAATAAACTCTCATTCTAGAGGAATATAAAAAGACATTTTATAAGCATGAATTTGTGAGCTTTAGACAAATAGGGTAATTTTTCTGCTATGCTATGATATCATTATGCCTGCTCTAGTGTCCAGATTTTGATCTTCAATACTTTCCTTTAAATAGTATCAGAGCTTTTTAGAGAATAAGAAAATCTATATTTTAATATTCTAAGTAAGTCTACAAACATTTTATCATTGTCAAAAACAAGGATGCTTTTGGAAAGTACATGAAAGGATAAAAATGCAAGTCTGGAAAGAAACTGCTAGAAGTAGTGACAAATTGAAAACAATGATTAAATTACAACTTGTTTTATCTGTGAGATGTCCATGATGATATTTAATGAAGACACATATTATTAATAATTGTATTAGAGGAAAGCCTGTCAAGAACTGTGAAGGAGCTGTGATATTACTGTGTTTGGATGCTAACAAGTTAGCTAGCCTGCCACAGTCTCACAGTTGCTGACAGAAGACACAAAATTCCTGGGTCAAAGACAAAGGGTGTTGTTACTCATGGCATAGCAGGCAGCATGAACTTCATGTTTGCATGTGTTCTCCTTACCTCCCAACTTCCATGGGGGTGACACAGAGGCAGGACCAAATGAACGCTGCACACATGGTGTATTTGTGCTGCAGTTGAGGAACCCTGTGAGATTAGGAGAACCTAATCCTTTGAAGATGCTGCTACCAAGCCAGATAAATAAGATAATTCAGATAATTAAGATTAAGATAATTAAGATAACTATTCTAATTATCTTGATCAGAAAATAAATCTTTCCTGCACCCCGGAGGGAGACACTATCTCTGTCTTCCATGTCTGTTTGCTCTACATTACCATTATGGGATACTTCTGAACAAAAAGCTCATACAAGATGGGAAAAAATGTCCTGGAGAGACTTTTGAAATGTATTGTTTTTGTTATTTTGAAATATACAATACATTGTTGCTATGGTTTGAATATCTGTACCCTCTAAACTCATGTTGAAATTTAATTTCCAGTGTGGAGAAATGTAATTCATTCATAAATTAATGGATTAATAGCTTAATGGACTAACAGGTTATCATAGGAGCAGGACTGTTGGCTTTATAAGAAGAGGGAGAGAGATCTGAGCTAACACATTCAGCCCTCTTGCCATGTGATACCCTGTGCTACCATGGGACTTTACAGAGAGTCTCCAACAGCAAGAAGGTTCTTACCATATATGGCTCATTGGCCTTGAACTTTCCAGCCTCCAGAACTGTAAGAAACAAATTTTGTTTCTCAAAAATTACCCAGTTTCATTCAGGTATTCTGTTATAAGCAACAAAAACAGACTAAGACAATTGTTATTGACTATAGTCACCCTTCTGTGCAATAGATCTCAAAACTTATTTCTTCTGTTTAACTGAAACTTTGTACCCTTTGACTGACAACTCCCCATTTTCTCCCTTACTGCCCCCTCCCACTTCTTTAAGCCTCTGTTAAGCGTCATTATACTCTCTACTTCTATGAGTTCAGAATTTTTTAGATTCTACATACAATTCTCATTTTTCAATTAAAAAATAATCATTTAAAAATGTCATAGAGAATTGTCTCCCAAAGAAATCAAACCGTCAAATGTGAGTAAATTGATTGGTGAATGATTTCCCACAAAGTTGAAAAGGGCAAATTATTCAGTTATAAAAGGAAGGCACAGTGCTTTGCTTTATTTGATTTATATAATTCCTTCCTCTGTTGAGATAGTTCAATATTTATTCTAGTTTACTTGATATGTAAGCTATGTTATATCTCGTGAGTTATTACTATGCGATATGGAATTTCTGATTAGAGAAGGATTAGGCATAGATATCAGTAAAGTCTGAATCCAAGACTGGAGGATATTATGCCTAGAAACTGACCTTGACTTCACCTAGTCAAACAGGAAATTCTTGCCAAAAAGTTATGAGCTTATGTCTCACCAGATCGAGAGCAGGCAGACATGATTTTGGAGTCTTGGGGGAAGTTGGGGTAGTTGTATGAAACATTTGGGATGGGAGCAGGTAGAGGAATATAAACACCATATGAGAATGGCAAAGTGAGCTCTTACCTTTGGAGAAACCTCTGTTCCTCTATCACTCTATGCAAGTGCTAACATTTAAAGCTGTACTATCCTGCACTTCCTTATCAGGATCTTTTCTGTTTTATTTAATCATCACTATAATTTTCATACTATTTGTTATTAATACAACTTTATATGTCCCAGTTGTATTATACTGTCTTTTTATTCAAGGAATATTCCTCTTCTGTTGTGCTACACATTCTTTCTCAATTTTAAACTATTTGGTTCCATAGGTACTTGTTGCTATTTTATATCACCATGCCATTATTCAAATAACACCCCATTTCTCCTACTCATCACTAGGCTATAGTTTCATCTTTGAGACACTACTATTGCCATGGACTCCTTGAGAAATACAGGAGGGGACGAAGAATAGCAATGTACTTGTGCCACCCTTCCCCAACCCAGCCAGTGAAGCTAGCAGCAACAAAAGTGATCGCTTCCTTCCACTTGAGGTGAGGAGAAAGGAAAGTAAAGATGACTTTGTCTTGCACCTTAGATACCAGGTGAGCCACAGTAGGACAGGGCACCAGGCAGAGTTGTGAGGCCCCCATTCCAGGCCCTAGCTCACAGATAACATTTCTAGATACACCCTGGGCCAGAAGGGAATCCACTGCCTTGAAGGAAAGGACTCAGTCCTGGCAGGATTCATCACCTGCTGACTAAAGAGCCCTTGGACCCTAAATAACAAACATGGATACCCATGTAGTATGCTATAGGAGTTGGGCTCTGAGACATGCTGGCTTCAGGTGTGGTCCAGTACATTCCTAGCTGTGGTGGCTATAGGGAGAGACTCCTTCTGCTTGAGAAAAGTAGAAAGAAAATAAAGTCCTCTTTACTTTTCTTGTACCTTAGCTACCACCTTGGCCATAGTGGGGTACAACACTGACCCCATGTGGGCTCTTGGGGTCCCTGAGTCCAGCCCTAGGCTCTTAGACAGCATTTCTGGACCTGGCCTGGGCCGGAGGGAGCCCACTGCCCTGAGAAGTGAATCCCTCAGGGACTGGCAGCATTCACCACCAGCTGACTGAAGAGCCCTTGGGCTTTAAGTGATCTTCAGCAGTGGCCTGGTAGAATCCCACGTGGGCTGGTGGTGGTGGTGGCAGCCACTCAACTACCTGTGGAAAGGAGAAGAGCAGGAAGAACTTTGTCTTGTGGTTTGAGTGCCAGTGCAGCCACAGAATAATAGAATATCAGATAAATTTGTAAGGCTTTTGATTCTAACCACTAGTTCCCATATAGCATTTCTGAACCTGTCCAGGCCTTGGGTGAACTCACTGCCCCAAAGGGAAGGACACAATCCTGGTTGGTTTTACAATCTGTTGAGTGTAGAGTCCCAGTGCCTTGAGTAAACGTATCTCAGAGAAATTCAAGATAACACAGAGAAGGAATTCAGAATTCCATCAGATAAATTTACTAAACATATTGAAAGTATTTAAAAGAATCAAGCAAAAGTTCTGGAGATGAAAAATGCAATTGACATACTGGAGAGTACATCAGAGTCTTTTACTAGCAGAATTGATCAAGTGGAAGAAAGAATTAATGAGCTTGAAGACGGGCTATTTGAAAATATACAGTCAGAGAAGACAAAAGAAAAAAGAATAAAGCATGTCCACCAGGTCTGGAAAATAGCCTCAAAAGGACAAATCCAAGCATTATTGGCTTTAAGGAGGAGGCAGAGAAAGAGATAGGGGTAGAAAGCTTATTCAAAAGAATAATATAAGAAAACTTTTCAAACCTAGAGAAAGATATCAATATTCAAGAACAAGAGGTTTACACAACACCAAGAAGATTAAATCCAAATAAAATTACTTCAAGGCATTTAATAATCAAACTCCCAAAGGTTAAAGATAAAGAAAGGATCCTACAAGCAACAAGAGAAAAGAAACAAATAAGGTGCAATAGAACTTCAATACACGTAGCAGCAAACTTTACAGTGGAAACCTTATAGGCCAGGAGAGAACAGCATGACATATCTAAAGTGCTGAAGGAAAAAACCTTTTACCCTGGAATAATATACCCAGTGAAAACATCCTTCAAGCATGAAGGAGAAATAATGACTTTCTTAGACATACAAAGGCTGAGGGATTTTATCAACACCAGATCTGTCGTACAAGAAATGCTAAAGGGAGTACTTCAATATGAAAGGGAAGGATTTTAGTGAGCAATAAGAAATCATCTGAAGGTACAAAACTCACTGGTAATAGCACACAGAAAAACACAGAATAGTATAACATTGTAATTATGGTGTGTAAAGTACTCTTAAGTAGAAAGACTAAATGATGAACCAATCAAAAAAATTACAGCTTTTCAAGACATTGACCACACAGTAAGACATACAAAGAAACAACAAAAAGTTAAAAAGTGGAGGGAGGAAGTTAAAGTGTAGAGTTTTTATTAGTTTTCTTTTTGCTTGGTTGTTTATGCAATCCATGTTAAGTTGTTATCAGTTTAAAATAATTGGTATAAGACAGCATTTGCAAGCCTCATGGTAACCTCAAGTGAAAAAAACATACAATGGATACACACACAAAAAGCAAGAAATTAAATCACACCACCAGAGAAAATAATCTTCATTAAAAGTTAGGAAGGCAGAAAAGAAGGGAGAGAAGACAAAAAAAAAAAATCAGAAAACAAATAATAAAATGGCAGGAGTAAGTACTTACTTATCAATAATAACATTGAATGTAAATGGACTATATCCTCTTAATAAAAGATATAGAGTGGCTGAAAGGATAAAAAAGCAAGACCCAATGATCTGTTGCCTACAAGAAACACACTTCACTTACAAAGACACACATAAGGGATGAAAACCAATATTCCATGATGATGGAAATCAGAAAAGGCCAAGTGTATCTTATATCTGATACTTATATCAGACAAAATAGATTTCAAGACAAAAACTATAAGAGACAAAGAAGGTCATTATATAATGACAAAGGAGTCAATTCAGCAAGAGGATATAACAGTTGTAAATACATATGCACCCAATTCTGGAGCACCCAAATACATAAAGCAAATATTATTGGAGCTACAGAGAGAGACAGACTTCAATACAGTAATAGCTGGAGACTTCAACACCCCATTTTCAGCATTGGACAGATCATCTGGACAGAAAATCAACAAAGAAACATTGGACTTAATCTGTACTACAGAACAATTGGACCTAATACATATTTACAGAGCATTTCATCCAATAGCTGCAGAATACACATTCTTCTCCTGAGAACATGGATCATTCTTAAGGATAAACCATATGTTAGGTCACAATACAGTTCTTACTACATTGAAAAAAGTTGGATAATATCAAGTATCTTCTCTGACCACAGTGGAATAAAACTCGAAATTAATAAGAAGAGAAATTTTGGAACCTATACAAATACATGGAAATTAATCAGTATGCACCTGAATTGACCAGTGGATCAATGAAGTAATTAAGAAAAGTGTTGGTGGCATGTGCCTGTAATCCCAGCTACTTGGGAGGCTGAAGTAGGAGGGTCACCTGAGTTTGGGAGGTTAAGACTGCAGTGAGCCAAGGCCATGCCACTGCACTCCAGCCAGGGTGACAGAGTGAGACCCTACCAAAAAAAAAAGAAAGAAAGGAGAAAGAAAGAGAGAAAGAGAGAAAGAAAGAAAGGAAAGGAAGGAAGGAAAGGAAGGAAGGAAGAAAGGAAGGAAGGAAGGAAGGAAATTGAAAAATTCTTGAAACCAATGATAATGGAAACAAAACATACCAAAACCTATGGGATACAGCAAAAGCTGCACTAAGAGGTAAGTTTATACCTATAAGTGCCTACATCAAAAAAGAATAAAAAGCTTAAATAAATAACATAATGACACATCTGAAAGAGCTAGAAAAGCAGGAACAAACCAAACCTAAAATTAATAGGAGAAAAGAAATAAAGATCAGAACAGAAGTAAAAAACCGAAATGAAGAAAACAATACAAAAAAATCAACAAAGTTAAAAGTTGGCTTTCCAAAATAATAAATAAAATTGTCTAACCTTTAGCCAGACTATGAAAAAAAGAGAAAAACCCACATAAATAAAATCAGAGATGAAAAAGTAAACATTACCACTGATATTGCAGAAATTCAGAGGATCAATATTGGCTACTATGAGCAACTGTATGCCAAAAAAAAGAGGAAAATGCAGAGGAAATGTGCAAATTCCTAGACACAAACAACTTACCAAGATTGAACCATGAAGAAGTCCAAAACCTCAACAGACCAATAACATGTAATGAGTTTGAAGTCGTAATAAAAAGTCTCCCAGCAAAGTAAAGCCAGAGAACCAATGGCTTACTGCTGTATTCTACCAAATATTTAAAGAAGAACTAATAGGAATCCTATCCAAACTATTCCAAGAAGAAGAGGAGGAGGGAATACTTCCAAACTCATTTTACAAGGCCAGTGTTACCCTGATACCAAAACCAGACAAAGACACATGAAAAAAAAAGAAAGAAAGAAAACTATAGGCCAATATTTCTGATGAACATTGATTAAAAAATCCTCAACAAAATACTAGCAAATTGAATTCAACAACACCTTAAAAAGATCATTCAACATGACCAAGTGGGATTTATCCCAGGGAAGCAAGGATGGTTCAATATATGCAAATCAATCAATGTGGGGATGGTTAATGAATATAAAAAAATAGCAAGAAAGAATGAATAAGACCTAGTATTTGATAGCACAAAAAGGTGGCTACAGTAAATAATAATTTGATCATACATTTTAAAATAACTTAAAGAGTATAGTTAAATTGTTTGTAACACAAAGGTTAAATTCTTGAAGGGATGGATATCCCATTTACCATGATGTAATTACTATGCATTGCATGCCTGTATCAAAGTATCTCATGTACCTCATAAGTATATACACCTGCTACGTACCCAGAAATATATAAAAAAGGCAATGCTTTGGGCTAATTTTCTGCCAGCTAGCAGGTGGTTCCTCAGAACAAATATTATCTAGAAGATTAATATTAGTATTACTTTATTTGCATTTCAAGCTGGTGAGCCCTGTATATATAGGAACTACATATTATTAATCCCTATGAAAGGTGAGGAGTATATATCTCAAATGATAGTAATTTCAAAATAGGAGACTATTAAATGTAGTGGCATTGTAGTAAATTCTTCCCGCTTTTTATTGTAGCTTTTAATTCTGTTACAGCAAATATAATACATTTTTTATTTTCAGATGATGATGTTGCTACTTTTGCTTTCTATTGAGAGCCTTGATTGCACTTAGGAGCAAATAAAAGGGTTATGATAAAGGTGTAACTGAGAGCCGGCAGATAATGGAACTCAATTCCAATATTATATACTCTCTCTAAATAAGGTACAGGAAAGAAGGGAAAGCCCTTTTTTTAAATTTTTTTATTTTTTTAAATTTTATTATTATTATACTTTAAGTTTTAGGGTACATGTGCACAATGTGCAGGTTAGTTACATATGTATACATGTGCCATGCTGGTGTGCTGCACCCATTAACTCGTCATTTAGCATTAGGTATATCTCCTAAAGCTATCCATCCCCCCTCCCCCCACCCCACAACAGTCCCCAGAGTGTGATGTTCCCCTTCCTGTGTCCATGTGTTCTCATTGTTCAATTCCCACCTATGAGTGAGAATATGCGGTGTTTGGTTTTTTGTTCTTGTGATAGTTTACTGAGAATGATGATTTCCAATTTCATCCATGTCCCTACAAAGGACATGAACTCATCATTTTTTATGGCTGCATAGTATTCCATGGTGTATATGTGCCACATTTTCTTAATCCAGTCTATCATTGTTGGACATTTGGATTGGTTCCAAGTCTTTGCTATTGTGAATAGTGCTGCAATAAACATACATGTGCATGTGTCTTTATAGCAGCATGATTTATAGTCCTTTGGGTATATACCCAGTAGGGAAAGCCCTTTTGCCCTCTGAAAGTTAACTGAAATGAACCGATAATAGGCAGATTAACAGGAGAAAAGGTGTACAAATTAATTAAGGTGCACAGGTGGAAAATCACAGGAGAATGATTACCCAACCACTCAATGAGTTTTAGAATCTTATATACTCTTCTCCTTCATAGGGGAGATGTGGAGAATGTAGGTAATTTTAGGGGGTGGAAAATGATTTTTAAGAAAATGGAATGGGCCAGACAATAGTTTGTAAATGATTCTTTTTGTAAACTGATGGGGATGGGGGAACAGAAAATAGTTTGGAACAAAGTTCTTCTGGGCTCTAGATCTAGCGTTTAATTTTCAGTTTCTTCCGCTGTGATCTGACTTTAAGTTTTCTTTGTTTAGTAAAATTTTAGAGGGTGGATCAAAGGCAGTTGTGTTCCTCTTTGGCAGGTTAGATGATTTCTAGGCAAATAAAGAAACTTCAGAGAAGAGCCTTATCCTGTGCTTTCGTGGAGAGACAGAGGAATGAGAGGCAGGAAGGGTTGGAAGGTCAGAGAAATCTTAAGCCTGCTTCTTTAGTTCCTCATGTCAAGGCACGATGTTTTGGGATGTTGTTTTCTGAGCCCCAACATAGGCATAAAATGTGATTGTACAGAAGACTTAATAACTAATCTCATACATGACAAGTTTCTTGCATTCCTAACATACATATTTTTACAGACACAGAGAACAGGTTTTGTAAAACACATGCAGGTATTCTCATACAAATGTGTAAAATTAATTTGGTTACTCATTTGTTGCACTTGTTGAATATAAAATGAAAAGATATGCATAATGGTATCTGATATGAAATTACAAGGCCTACTGAGAGGCAGTAGAGCTTTGTGATTAAGCATATGATGTCTAGAGTTGGGCTTTCAATGGTGGAATTATGATTCCACTGCTTATAAAATGTGGGACTGTGAACAAGTTACTTAATGTTATCTTTGCCTCAATTGCATTGTCTGAGAAAATGAATATATTTTTTCTTTTAAAAATATGTACTTAGGTTGCTATGAGGATACAACCAGCAGGACTATGTTAGGCAATCTTTTCAGTACTAGGCTTATATATTTGCACAGACTATTTCTATATGTTCACACAAGACATTTGGTAATAATTGTTGACTCTGGGACATGGGAATGAGATGGATGTCTGTGCTGGGAGAAAGACTTGGTTTGTCCTTATACTGTTTACATTTCCTACCAAATTAAATGATCTAATTAATCTGAAAGGATTCAAAATAAATAAGAGTACAACAGTTTGGATTTTCACAGCCATATTGTTTTACTAGTTGTGGTGTTATGATATATATTTTCATCCGTGGTTCCTGGCTCATAATTCCCGTAGCCCTTGTTAACAGTCTTCTGTTATAAGGTTGGAGGTGTTAGGTCTCAGGGGCAGGCTTCTGACCTTCTGCCCTCCTTTCACCTGCCTCAATGCAGGACTCCAAAGCTCCCCTCCTTTCTGGTTGTGGGTCTTAAGTCCCTCTCATGAAAGAGTCCCGCCCTATACCCTTGGGGAAGGAATGCTGACATCATGAAGCTTCCATAGACCCCAAGACGGCAGCGTTCAGTGAGCTTCCAGATAGGTGCATACGCGGAGGTTCCTGGAGGGTGGTGCACCTAGGGAGGGCATAGAAGCTCCATGCCCCTTCCCCCAAATCTCACCCTACACATCTCTTCATTTGTATCCTTTGTGATATCCTTTATAATAAACTGGTAAACATAAGTAAGTGTTTCCCTGAGCTCTGTGAGCCACTCCAGCAAACTAATCAAACCCAAAGAGGGGGTCATGGGAACCCCAACTTGAAGCTAGTCCATTGGAAGTTCTGACGGCCTGGACTTGCAACTGGTGTGTTGGGGGCAGAGAGGGGGCCAGTCATGGGGACTGAGCCTTCAACCTGTGGCATCTGACACTATCTCCGGGTAGTAGTGTCAGAACTGAATTAGAGGGCACGCAGCTGGTGTCTGCTGCTTGGTGTGTGGGGAAAATAAAGCCACACATTTGGTCACAAAAGCCTTCTTCTGTGTTGATGACTCTTGTGGTGTGAGAGTAGAAGAAAAACATGGTTTGAGAAGAGTTTTTTCCTGTACACTAGTACAATCACAGAAAAGTAGATTGCAGGTTTTTATAATGTTGTTTTGGACATTTGATCATATGATTTCATAATACTAAAATTTGAGAAAATTGTTCTTAGGACTTTTCTATTCTTTGGTATCCTATAAGATTTTCATAAGACTTTCTTTTTTTAATAGTTTAAATATTTTTTTGGCAATGCATATTTAATATTTTTCCCATATCTAGTTATATATTCAATTATCAACTTGATCTGTTTTGGAGATTCTCATATTTTGGACAATAGAAATTCATTGATCACAGTACCTCTGCAACCTAAATACTAAAGATGAGCTCATAAAAAAGACAAGATAGTATCAGGCAGCTCTGTCTATGACATTATGAGAATGTTTCAGAGGGGCTCTCATCTGTTCAGATGTAGCATTCTTTTGTCCACGAGAGAATAGAAGGTCAGGTTTGAATACAGGTTTATGGTACCTTTGAGTAGGAAAGAAAATGGAGTAGATCCAGTTCCCATGATTGGCATTATCCACACACAATGAGTCAGCAGAAAGCTGACTTTGAGAAGAGATTCGGCTATTGTATTTCTAAATTTTGAAAGGTAGGGGAAGTTGAGTGAGAAGTGTGGAAGAACACTGCAAGCTGGAGAGGCACCACACTGTGGACTTTGACTCAAGACAGCTGTCAGTCACAGGGGAGAGAGTGAAACAGAATTGGTATAGTGGAAAGCTGAAAGCAAGAACATTTTCAATTTTGTCTAGAGGTTTATTATCTTGCCACCTTGTGATTTAAGTCATTCATTTAATTACTACTGTCTCTTTTTTCTGGTCATACAAAAGCTTGAGAACAGATTGTCCTTACCTAATGCATATATTTTCCAGACTTCTTTATTGCCATGTTGGCACTAAGCATAAAATATTCCTTGATGGGACTTTGTCTTCCAAATATTTCAATGCTTTTTCTTCATTCTCTGGCACCTGACATTTTATTAAATAATGTAGAGAAAATGTCTTTTCTTGTCACTATAGTAAGCCAGGTGTCAAACGTTTATATTTCTTTCAGGTAACTATACCCAAGAGAACAATACACTTGGCATTTGGGCAGTAGGGGCTGTAGGGTCTGTTCTGATTTGCAATAAGCACTGGGAGCATTATCCTGGTGGAGACACACTTGCTTCTGCTTCCCACCCTCATCCCCAAGGCAACAGTCAGTAGGAACACAGTGGCATTTGCTTCTTAGGGAAGATGTGCTTCTTGCCTTATCCATTTGATTAACTGCTAAAAAATAGGGGTCCACAGTAACAACATATGCAGTACTTTGTGGTGTGAAAGAAGTGTCTCAGTTACCCTCCAAGGGACAGCTAAGAATCAGTCGTATTTTTATAAATAGCACATGTGAGTTACAGAGTTAATTTTTCATTTAATCTATAACCTAAAAATTGGTTGGTGCCTTATAGGCTCCTGACCTTTCTTACTTTATCCCTATCTGAGGCTTTATTCTCTGAAGCGTTGTCCATGTTTCAGCAGTCATTGCATAGCAAAGGATGCATGTTGCTGTCTGGAGTACTTCCATGATGACAGCAGGTGATGAATGCCTTTTCTATAGGGATGACTAATATGGCTTTAGTTGGGGACCCTTGGTTATGAGGGGCAATAATGTAAAACATTCTAAGACACCTGATAACCTGAACTCCCATGTAACTGAAATGGCAAAATTGGCCCTATGATCTGGGAATTTGTCCAAGATTTAAAAAATGTATCAGAGAAATGGACTTTCTAATTCATCTTTTTTTAGGTGCCTGTCTAGAGTCACATTATATGAGAGCTTAGCATATGCAGATTTTATGCCTCAACTTACCTTATTATTATAAAAACAAGACTTCTACTTGCTACAGAGACTTTCTCAACTTCTAATGAAAATAAGGGAAGAGAGAATAGAAGGATGGTGTAGGCCCCACATAAATAGAAGTAACATGGAAAACGCATCATTGGGAACTGCTGAGGTACTCTAGATACAGTGAGCCCAGAATTCTTTCTCTATAGGCAACTACTTCTCTCACTTTCCCCCAAAACTGAAGAATAATATGGATTATGGATTCCATAACACTGTTAAATACATATCTCAGAATTTTTCTTTTCTATGTATGTATGTATGTATGTATGTATGTATGTATGTATGTATGTATGTATTGAGATGGAGTTTCACTCTTGTCACCCAGGCTGGAGTGTAATGGTGCAATCTTGGCTCATCGCAACCTCTGCCTCCCGAGTTCAAGCGATTATCCCACCTCAGCCTCCCAAGTAGCTATGATTACAGGTGCCCGCCACCACACCCAACTAGTTTTTGTACTTTTAGTAGAAATGGGGTTTCACCATGTTAGCCAGGCTGGTCTTGAACTCCTGACCTCAGGTGATCTGCCCGCCTTGGCCTCCCAAAGTGCTGGGATTACAGTATGAGCCACCTGTGTCCAGCCATAATCTGAAGAATTTTTCTTTTAAATCATTTCTAATCTATTAGCATTTAGATAATCAAATATCTTACTAAGTTCTGTTATATTTTTGCTTTAGTAACAAAGAAGGAAGGCTGCCCAGATATGCAATAGATGTGGCTCCATTATTTATCTAGTGAAATGTTCAGTTAGACATTTTGGATATATAAAGAAACAACAGAGTTTTCTGTGTAAAAGAGTTTCTGTGATAAATAAGGATAGAGTTTATCATAAGAGACAGCTGCATCGGTTTCTGTTTCAAGGTCATTCAAAGAAGGGAAAAAGAAAAAAAGGGAGTTGGTAATCTCTACCTAAATATGTGGCTGAAATTCTTGTCTAATTGTCAGAGAAAGGCAAGGCTTTAAAAAAAGACTGATGAGAGCAGAAGCATTCTGCCTCCTTTGTGGTTTGCTCTTTCTTCATGGCAAGGATGGGCTCCACATCTCCATTGTGGCCAGGGGCTTCTTACTGGTCTTTAGCTAGAGAGCACTGATGTGATCTAACATCTATGAGGTGTTTTAAACAGTGGCTAACACTCTATTATGCTCAGCACACAATACAGGGCTTGAAAAATCAGTGATAATTGGTACATATTTGTTAAATTAATGCTTCAAAAATGCTGGGTTTGTGGAACACAGATATTCAAAATATCTGAGTCCTGGGTTGCAGATGTATAATCACGGAAATGAGCTCAGGAATGGAATGGGTCAGATTTGTAACTGTTCACATATTGAACTTGTAAAGAGAAAGGGAAAGGGGTAAATTCAGAGTTTAGAGTCTTTCTGGGTTGGGAATTTTAGCTGTATCTTGGAATAAGATAACAGAGATGCACATAACTGTGAAAGGAAAATAAATCTTACGACCCCAAAATCACTAAGCCAAAGGGAAAAGTCAAACTGGGAACTGTGGCAGGCAAACTTGCCTCCCATTTCATTCCTAAATAAGATAGCTACAAAACAAACAAACAATAAACAAACAAAGCTACCTACCTCCTTCACCATTTGCCCACAAGGAAATTCCTTGTGGACAAAGGACAGACAGAACTCAAAAGTCACAGACAGAACTCAAAGTCATCCCTCTGCTTATGTGAGACAAATGCATATCTGACTATTTCCTTTGCCTTATTGTTTCACTAAGCCAGACCAAGGCATAAGTGACTATTTCTGTAAACTGTGTATTCAGCGAAAGGCTAATCAGAAACTCAAAAGAATGCAACTGTTTGTCTCTTATCTGCCTATGACCTGGAAGCCTTCTCCCTGCTTCAAGTTGTCCTGTCTTTCTGGATCAAACCAATGTAGATTTTACCGATATTGATTGATGTCTCATGTCTCCCTACAATGTATAAAACCAAGCTGTGCCCTGATCACCTTGGGTACATGTCCTCA
Source organism: Homo sapiens (assembly GCF_000001405.40). Taxonomy (NCBI): domain Eukaryota; kingdom Metazoa; phylum Chordata; class Mammalia; order Primates; family Hominidae; genus Homo; species Homo sapiens. The sequence continues at coordinate 33,307,712 of NC_000012.12, forward strand.
GGACCTCCTGAGGCTGTGTAACAGGAGTGTTTTTAACCTTGGCAAAATAAACTTTCTAAATTGCCTGAGACCTGTCTCAGATATTTTGGGTTCACATAGGTAAGAAAATCTCTGAAACATAGTAGTTACAATATGCTGTAAAGAATAGAACACTAAGTATGTTTGACTAGACTGGTTAATAGTCTAGTTGAGAGATATAAAAAGGAAGTAAACAGTAGCATCAAAATACGTACTGGGGCTCATAAAGTGATACTCTAGAGACTGGTGCGTTAACATACTAAGAGGTCTTAGAAGCTGCTTCAGGATCAAGGTACCTTTAACCTTGTCTTGTTAGCCTACTTCCCCCAAACTCTTGAAGTGCAAGGAGGGACACTCTGTAATTCCCTTATCTGACCAAGAGAGTCTTTCCAAAAGAAATGCAAGTAGAGGTTGGGAGTCATCACTACACCCAGATAGATTTTTTATTTATTTTTCTGAGGGCAGCTACAAGAGATTATTTGGAAGACTTTATCTGCATAATAAGACAACTTTTGATCCTGTGCAGATGAACCCCTCACCATCCCATTGATACAAGAGCTAGAAAGAAATTATTTAGGCAGACAGTGATGGTAAAGGAGTTCTCGGCAAGGCTTTTCTTTCTTTTTTTTTTTTCAGAAAGCAGCCCCAAAATCATTTATTTTCTAATGAAGAGCAGCCTGAAAAATTGAGCTTCAGACATAGATAAGCAAACTGGAAGCCTGCATGGGCAAATGTCAGCAGCTGTGCAAATAGAAGAGGGCTACCTGAGAGCCAGGCATTTTCAACATGGAGGCTCCATCTTCCCTTTTCTTTGTCATCGTGTGTATGTTAAAGGAACAGGCAACATGGCATTGACCAGGTAGAGAACCTATCTGCATAATAAAAGATTAGGATGGGGCGGCCAGCTTCTTTGTGTGCTATACAAATGGCACGCCTGGTCCGACCAATCTTTCATGGCCTATGTAAATCAGACACTGCCTCCTAAAGCTCATCTATAAAACCTTCTGGATTTCACTGCAGAAGTGGCAACCCATTTTCTCTGGGACCCCTCTCTGTGCAGAGAGCTGTTTTCTTTCTTTCACCTATTAAACTTCTGCTCTTAAACTCACTGTGGTGTATCCATGTCCTATTTTTCCGTGGCTGTGACACAACAAATCTCAGATATTTACCCCAGACAACAACGCCGCTTCACCATAATATCTGCTTCCTGCATCCTGAGTCCATTTATTCTGCCTAATGATTTACTGCCCCTCATATAATTGTCTACATTCCCCATATCCCTGTTTCCCTTTTAAAAAGGGCATATAAGCTTCTGTACCTCACTGGGTTATTGAATCATCATTTTTCTGAAACTTGCCTGTGTTACGCATGTTAAAATAAAATGTGTATGCCTTTTCTCCTATTTATCTGCCTTTTGTCAGTTGATTTTCAGTGAACCTTCAGGGGCAAAAGAGGACATTTTCCTTTGGTCCTTACATATGCACATATTTATATATATTTACATATAGTAATGTATACTGTGATATGCTCTGTATTTTTAAATGTTCTGGAAATGGTAACATTTATTAATTATGCAGAGTTTATGAAAGATTAGCAAATTCTCGTGGAAAGAGGAAAAAATGAAACATAGGTCAATATAATTAAAAGAAGGAAGTCCGATTTCTTTTGAAGAGGTCAGAAAGTGATGAGACTTTAAAAATACCAAATGAAGAGATTTCTTAAGGAAAAGGGTAAAATAAGGTTTAAAGAGCAAAAATTGATATTCTTCACTATAATCTCAATTAAGTTATAGACAGAAAAACTACAGGCAAAGAGATTGAGATAAAAATAGCAAAAGCAAAGAACAAAAGAGTAATTTTATAAATTGGTTTAAGGTTATGAAAATAACACACCAAGAAAAGCTCAGAATTCTTTTCACATAGACACAATGTTTGATAATTGCCTAGGAAAATTTTGGAAGGAATTAAAATGTGGTAAAAACATTGATATGTATAAATAAAAATTAAACAAGAAAAATTAAAAATTAATGATGATATCTTTAAAAGGGGAAGGGAAGTATAGAGAAGGAAGTGATGGCAGTAGGAGGTAGATAAACCCTAGGCAGACAGGGCCAGGTCCCTGGTGAAACCCGACCTTGAAGCCAAAAACAGTTTAAAGTCTAGCTACAAGTCACAGGTAAATCCAGACTGGACTGAGAGCCTGTCTTCCCATTTGGCATGCTTTCTTCTGATTGATTCTCCACCTTTCACCTATTTTACATATACCTACACTTTCCTAATTGGTTTTTTATTCTGTCATGCCCACCTTTCAGTGTTGCCTTTGTTTTAGCCTTTCCTGCATACTCACAAACCAATCAGCATGCACTCCCCATTCTGAGCCCATAAAAACCCTGGACCCAGCCACATTGAGAGAGAGACCACCCAACTTTGGGTGGGGCACCACCCTCATGTCCCGTCTCCACTGAGAGTTGTTTTATCACTCATAAAATTCTCTTCCACGCTCCTCACCCTTTCACTGTCAGTGTAACCTCATTTTTCTTAGAATGGGTACAAAGAATGGGTACCGAACATGGGTACAAAGAAGGCTCTAACACTATGGTTCTCTGTCTTCTACAGGCAGAGGGCAGCCATCCCACATGATGAGAAACAGTAGTGGGGCTGAGCCAGTCTCAGAGCTACAGGCTGGAGTGGGGCAACAGGGCTGACAGAGCTAATAACGCATCACTGTCTGTTGGGCTGTGGATGGTGGGACTAAAAGACTAATTAGCATGCTGTAATATCCTCACTGGGGTTTCAGGGTTACAGGCACCCTTGCTTGGGCACCACTGTGTTCACCTCATATGGACACCAGAGTCCACTGTGGGAGTTGCTTGTGACATGCCTGGTCCAGCCGCAAGCCCTGCATGGAGACCACCCCTGTGCTGGCACTTGGACCCCACACTCGCTTGCTCACACACCCCCCACCCACCAGGGGCTGAGTGCACAGTCGTGATGGCTATGGGATTTGCACCAAGGTGCAAGCCAGGTGCAGCCTGTTGGGCCAAATACATGGAGCATCTCCTGTGGTAAACTTGGGCCCGAGCAAGGCCTGGGCAGGGGCATTACTGGCTGGAGGTCTCTGGCTGGCAAAGTGACAGAGAAAAATCCTATGTCAGAAGGAAAAACGATTTTCCCTCTCTTCATAGTTGTTATTTGGGGCAACACCTGCAAAAAACAAAGATTAATAAGAAAAAAAAAGTTTAATAACATGTATACCTCATGTACACATGTAGCTACCCAGAGAAATGAGTAAATCTCAAAGATTTGAATTCAGACTTAAATATCATTCCATTAATAAAAGGGTGTGTGGAAGCCCAGTAATGAGGAGGTCACTGGAAAAAGCATAGTAAACAAGGTAAGGTTTGTTATGCAGATTTAAGTTGATACGTTCTTCATTGTTAAGAGTCTATAGTGATTTAGAGTCATCTTTTATTTGTGGTACAGAGAGAGACACTCACAAATGGAGACTTCCTCTATAGATGTAAATTTTCTTTACAAAAGGGTAACTCCTACTCTGTTTTCAGAACATCTCCTATGTCTCCAGTTTCTCAAAATAATCAGCTCAAAATAGTCCTTATGGCAAAGAAGCATATTTTGGGATGGATTATTCTGGCCCCCTTTAAGAGAATATTGAAAAATTCATATGATTACAAAATTTTATTAAAAAATGCTTTTATAGAGGTAAGAAAAACTAGCCCAAATATGAATAACTAATAGACTAAATGGATTATTTCCATGGGAACTTAAGGAAGATGGTTAAAAAATGTGGGGTCAGACGGTGAAGGAAATATGTATGTTGAGATCACTGAAATGCTTCTGCTTTGAGAAATGCAAATCAAAACTGTAATGAGATATTATCTCACCCTAGTTACATTGACTTTTATAAAAGCAGAGGCAATAACAAATGCTGAGGAGGATGTGGAGAAAGGGGAACACCCATACACTGTTGGTGAGAATATAAACTGGTATAGCTATTATGGAAAACAGTATGGTGGTTTCTCAAAAAAACTAAAAGTGAAACTACCATATAATCTAGGAATCACATTACTGGGTATATGTTCAAAAGAAAGGAGATCAATATATCAAAGAAATATCTGCACTTCCATGTTTATTGCAGCACTATTCACCATGCCAATAGCCAAGATATGGCATCAGCCTAAGTGTCCATCCATGAAGGAATGGATACAGAAAATGTGGTTCATATACCCAATGGAATATTATTCAGCTATAAAAAGGAATGAAATCCTGTCATTTGCAACAACATTGATGGAACTGGAGAACATTATGTTAAGTAAAATAAGCCAGGCACAGAAAGACAAATACTTCATGTTCTCACTAATATGTGGGAGCTAAAAATATTTATGTCATGGAGATAGAATGACAGTTGCCAGAAGTTGGGAAGAGTATTAGGGAGAGAGGGGGATAAAGATGGATTGATTAATGGGTATAATAATACAGTTAGATAGAAAGATTAATATGTAATCTTTGGTAGTAGAATAGGGTGACTACAGTTAACAATGGTATGTTTTATATTTCAAAAGAACTAGAAGAGCAGAATTGGAATGTATCTAACACAAAGAAATGGTAAGTGCTTGATGAGATGGATATACCTTGATTTGATCATCTTATATTTTATAATTGTATCAAAATTTCACATGTACCTTATACATATGTATAATTATTACACAACCATAAAATATAAAATGCTTCTGCTTCAATGTTTTGATTTTCTTTTTAAGATTATAGTAAGCCAGTTGTTTTAACAGAACATGGGAAGATTTTTATTTAATAAATTAATCAGCATATACATAATGGCACTTGTTATGTTCATAGGCAAGGTAACATAATGGAATAAGCAAAGTTTTTCTTTTGACACACCTGTGTTCAACTCCTCCTTCTGCCATTTTTTAGGGTATGTGAGTGAGTGACTATGTAACTTTGGGATACATTTTTTAAAGCTTATACTTTTTTAACTGGACAAAGAGAAAAATAAAAATAATTTTTAAGATAATGAGAAACAGATTAAAAATGTAAAATAAGTAGCACAGGATCTGTGCAAAGCATCAAATAATTTGTTATTCTTTCTTCCCTTCCAAACTGCACCCTTTTTTCCTACCTATTTTCTGAAATTGGGTTATATCTTACAAATGTCAAAAAAAGCTTTCTGGTCCCCATGGCAAAGAGTTGTATTTTTATTGTCTTTGCTTGTGAAAGCTCAGTTTTTTACAGAGATTCTTGTTTTTAATTGTCACCTCAATAGAGATACCTACAGCGATAACTTCACAGGCAATAGAATTTTAAATTAATTCTGTATTCTTATTTTTTGCTTAAAATGTCTTTGAAAAGATTGCATTGTGATGCAGAGTTTAAATGTGAAGTTACATTGTGTCTAGAAGACTGTTTGTCACAAGTCAAGTAATTTAAACATGGAAGAAATGGCCAAATCTCTCAGAATAGAACATAGAACTTTTCAAAAGCTAGGAGAGGTTGGAGTGACTGATTAGTATGTTATAAAGAACTGTATCACTCAGATGCCCATCAGTGATCTGTCAAAGACTTCCAGGTGACTAACAAGTAAAGTGTTTAACTTCCATTAATACATACTTCAATTGAAGATGTAGAGGTGGAAAGGTGTAATACCTTTCCTCACCCATCATAAGGGTCAGGGCTGACATTCCTATAGCAAAAAATAGGTTAACAAGAGGAAAGTATAACAAATTTATTTAATCAAAGTTGTACATAAGGGAGTCTGCAGAAATAATGACCCAAAGCCCAGGGAAAACTATTCATTTTTGTGCTTAAATTTGATGAGGAATGGAGAGCTGTGTAGAAATGTAACTGGACAAAAAGAGTGCAATCTAATGGTAATAGACTGAGTGGGGGTGGGGAGGGAGCCCAGCCTTGCCTGTCTGTTCAGATTCTTCTTGGCTTCTCTGTGTAGCATTCCTTCCTCTGGGCATAGAGCAGGACTCCTTCTGGAATGAAGGTCTAATGGTCTACAATCTGTCAAGGTAGGTCAGAGATTTCTTTATGGCCAGCTTCTACATAGAAAGGTGGGGGGAGGTTAGAATAACATTTTTAGATTTTATGACCCACCTTGGGGGAGGGGAATTCTGGTTTCTATGACTCTCTTTGGGGGTAAAAGAGGAGTGGGAAACATGAAGGAATGAGAAGATCAGAGACTTTGTTTTTGAAGCAGCTTCTGAGTCCTCCAATCTCATTTAGTTTAAAGTACTCAACATGCCAAAGCACCATACTTTTGTCATAACCCAATGGGTTCTTCTTGCCCATTGCCCAGAAAAGCCAATGTACTGAGAACAGCAGGTATTGCAGCAAACAAAAAGTTTAATGATCACAAGACCAGCCAAGCAGATGGATGGGAGGTATTTCTCAAATCTGCTTTCCCAAGAATTTGGAGGCTAGGGTGTTTAAGGGTACTTTGGTGGGCAAGTGGCTGGGGAACAGAAAAAACTGATTGGCTGTGGATGAAATGACAGGGGTGTTCAAACTGTCTTCAAGCAGCTGAGTCACTTCCAGGGAGGGGGGTCTCAGGATGAGGTGTTGTCCCTTGGTCTACCAAAATGCTAAATCTGAAAAATACCTCAAAGACCAGCTCTTTAGATTTCACAATAGTGATGTTATCTACAGGAATAGTTGGGGAAGTTATAAATCTTGTGACCTCCAGTTACATGACTGAGACAGATAAGCAACTTATAGAAAAGAAAGCTAAACAATGGCAGGTTATTGTTTAACTATGCTTATTCTTTAGCAAAGGTCGAGCTCCTACCATGATTCTAAACTTGAATGCAGCTTCAATCTCCAAACAAGGAAGCAAGCCAGTTTTCCTTGCCTCAAAGTGTATAGTTTATAAACTAAATTTAACTTATAAACTAAATTCATCTTATAGTTATCTTGGCCTCCACACTAGCCATGGCTAGAGCTGGAGCAGCTGGGAACACAGGGTGCTATGTCCCAAGGATGCACAGAGCAGCAGGGCCCTGGCCCTGGCCCATGAAATCATTTTTCCCTCCTAGGCCTCAGGGCCTGTGGTGACAGGGGCTACTGTAAAGGTCTCTGAAATGCCCTGGGGGCATTTTCCCTATTGTCTTGGCTATTAATATTTGGTTCTTCTATACTTATGCAGATTTCTGCCGTCTTGAATTCCTTTCCAGAAAATGGGTTTTTCTTTTCTACTCCATGATCAGACTGCAAATTTTCCAATCTTTTATGCTCTGTTTCCCTTTAAAATATAAGTTCTAGGTTCAGGTCTTTTTTTGTTTACACAAATGAGCATCAGCTTTTAGAAGCAGACAGGCCAAATCTTGAACACTTTGATGCTTAGAAATTTCTCTTCCTGATACCCTAAATCATCTCTCTCAAGTTCAAAGTTCCACAGGTCTCTAGAGAAGGGGCACAGTGCTGCCAGTCTCTTTGCTAAAACATAGCAAGAGTGACCTTTATTGCAGTTCCCCAAAAGTTCCTCATCTCCATCTGAGACCACCTCAGCCTGGACCTCACTGTCCGTATCACTATTAGCATTTTGGTCAGAACTATTCAACAAGTCTCTAGGAAGTTCCAAACTTTCTCCATCTTCTTGTCTTCTTCTGATCCCTCCAAACTGCTCTAACCTCTGCCCATTACCCAGTTCCAAAGTAGCTTCCACATTTTCGGGTATCTTTATAGTAACGCCTAACTTGTTTGATATCAATTTTCTGTATTAGTTCGTTCTCACACTGCTATAAAGAACTACCTGGTACTGGGTAATTTATAGAGAAAAGAGGTTTAATTGACTCAGAGTTCTGCAGGCTATACAGGAGGCATGGCTGGGGAGGCCTTAGGAAACTTACCATCATGGTGAAATGGCAAAGAGGAAGCAAACACATCTTCACATGGTGGCAGAAGAGACAGTGAGTGAAGGGGGAAGTGCTACACCCTTTTAAAAAACCAGATCTTGTGAGAATTCACTTATTATCATGAGAACAGAAAGGGGGAAATCCACCCCCATGATCCAATCATCTGCCACCAGGTCCCTCCCCCAACATTGGGAATTACAATTTGACATGAGATTTGGATGGGTACACAGAGCCAAACCATATCAACCACCCATATAAAAAAGATATTCTTCAAAGGTGGGGGTGGGGAAGAGAAGTGGATATGAGAATTTGGGCAAAGTTCCTGAAGGTAACTCTGACACACTGCTTTTTGGAGAACCTCAGATATAATCTGTTCCTTCTTCATCTGCTTTGCTGGTTTTGCTCATTATTCGGTCAGAATATACTAGACTATTTTTCAATAACAAATGCTCCTCAACTTATGATGGGGTTACATCCCTAAAAACCCATTGTAGGTTGAAAATATCATACATTGAAAATGCATTTAATATATCTAACCTAACAGACATCATAGCTTAGCCTAGCCTACCTTTAATGTGCTCAGAATACATATGGTAGCCTATAATTGGGCAAAATCATCTAACACAAAGCCTAATTTATAATAAAGTATTAAATATCTCATATAAATTATTGACTACTGTACTGAAAGTGAAAAACAGAATGGTTGTATGGGTACTTGAAGTATGATTTCCACTGAAAGTATATTGCTTTCACTCCATCATAACATTGAAAACAGGTAAGTTGAACCATTGTTAAATTGGGGTCAGTCTGCAAAATGGAAACCTCCACATTTTAGAGGCTCAATACAACAAAGCCTTATTTCTTATTTATATCACAATTCAATGAAGGCTAGGCTTTACCATTAGACCAATTTCCATCAGTGTTTTGGGTTTGATTTTTGCCAGGAAGCCATTCGTTAATTTTATCATCATGTGCCACCTGGAGAGGCTAGACGATTTTATGGCCAGCAAGCCCTTGTTTCTTTGTATTTAATAATTCTTCCTTTATCTTATCTCTCTCCTCTCCCATTTTACTGTAAGCAGCAAGAAGAAACCAAGTGACACCTTCAGTACTCTATCTGGAAATCTACTGAGCTAGATTAGATTATCCCATTCATTTGGGCACATTTTCTACATTCACATTGGGCACATTTTCTATGTTCCTAAACTTTCTGCCTTATCAAAAATCTTCTTTCCTCTACTTCCAAATAACATTTTCCTCACATTCCTTTAAGCCCTTGCCTGTAGCCTCCTTACCAGTTTCTTTAAAGATCCTCAGTCTTTTACTAGCTCTTTCCTTAAAGTTCTTCCATCTCCCACTTTCTGCCTGGTTCAAAAGCCACTCCCACATTTAACAATTTTCTTAAAGCAGGACCTTACTTCTAGTTACCAAAATCTGTATCGATTTTTTTTTTCGTACAGGCTGGAGTGCAATGGCTTGATCTCAGCTCACTGCAACCTCTGCCTCCTGGGTTCAAGCGATTCTCCTGCTTCAGCCTCTCGAATAGCTGCGATTACAGGTGGCTGCCACCACGCCTGGCTAATTTTTTGCATTTCTAGTAGAGACGGGATTTCACCATGTTGGCCAGGCTAGACTTGAACCCCTGACCTCGTGATCTGCCCTCCTTGGCCTCCCAAAGTGCTGAGACTACAGGCGTGAGCCACTGTGCCTGGCCCTGTATTGATTTTTTATTGTTGCATAATTACCTGAAAACTTAAACCAGCAATAGGTAGTTCCTGTCGGTCCAGAATTTGGGAGTGGCTGTTTTGGTTTAAAGTATCTCATGAGGTTTTAATCACAATGTTGGCCCATTCGATAATCATCTGAAGGCTTGGTCGGGTTAGATAATTCACTTCCATTTAATGTGGATCACTCATTTGTCTGGCAAGTCATCTTTATTGTCAGCAAGAGACTGTAGTTTATTGTCACATGGTCTGCTTTGTACAATATATTGAGTGTCTTCACAAAATGGAAGCTGGCACATAAAGGAATATTCCCACAGAACAAGTGATGTCAGAGAGTAAGGTGGATACCATGATGCCTTTTATAACCTAGCCTCAGCACCTAGCAACATTCTATTATTTCTGCAATATTCTATTGGTCTCACAGATCAGCTCTATTCAGTATGGAAAAGGACTACACAGAAACTTGAATAACATGAGGCAAGAATCAATGGGGACCATCTTGGATAATGGTTATTACCAAGAAGATAAACACAATAATAAATAGGTAAAAATTAAGTGACTCCAAATCTAAGCTTTTGGAACTTTAAGATATTTTAAGCCTAAGGGAATGTGATTATGAGACCCGAGTCACATGATAGGCTGCTGTAACCTAGGCAGCTGCAATCTTTGTTTCTCTCATTATAGATTAGCCTTCTTCCTTACCTATATTGTGTAGTAAAATGTTGCAAGTGACTAAAGGGCACCACTCTTCCCTCTTCACTGTTGATCTTTATTATAGATGAACCTCCCTCTCACCTTTCTCAAACAAAGACTTCATGGCTATCACATTTTTAAAGACGGAATGTTAAATAACACTCTTTAAAATTGGAAAGAATCAAAACAAGCGATAAAGAAAAATAAACACAATGAGAAAGAAAATCTGTAAATAGTTGTAACTTAAAAATAGCCTTGTATAGAACATATTGCAATTCTGTCAAGTTGCTTTGTTTTCTTCCTACATAAGCAAAACCTTAACTTTCAACTTTAGAGTGCTGATACCATTTCTCTGTCTCTCCTGGATGGCTATTATCAGCTTTGGGTTTGAATAAACTCTACACTTAATCATATTTTATGAATCTCATTACTTAAAGTTGACAAATAGCTATAATTTATAAAGGCTACAAAAGTGATTTGTTTGAAGAGCTGCAATACTACGGAAGATGCAGTATGCAATTGCTGTGATGTAGCTACAGGGTCAGAAAATCCTTTTCAGAGAAGGTAACATTTGAGATGAGTCTTTGTGAATAAGTGGAAATTCATCACTCAAAAGGAGAGAGAAATGCCAAGTGTGGCTCACACCTGTCATTTCAGCGCTTTGGTAGGCCGAGGCAGGCAGATGGCTTGAGCTCGGAAGTTCAAGACCAGTCTGGGCAACATATTAATCCCGTCTCTACTAAAAATACAAAAATTTGCCAGACATGGTGATGCACACCTGTAGTCCCAGCTCTTTGGGAGACTGAGGCGGGAGGATGGCTTGAACCTGGGAGGTGGAGGTTGCTGTTAGCTGAGATTGTGCCACTGCACTCCAGCTTGAGTGACAGAGGGAGACCCTGTCTCAAAAAAAAAAAAAAAAAAAAAGGACAGAGAAAAATCTTAAATGAGAAGGAGACGTAATATTTGGTGTCTAAGTATTAAAATATATGAGGGAAAGACACTGGGGAAAAGAATAGATGATAAAAATAATAACTTATCTATAAAGTTCTGCATATTTTACAAAAAATCAGTCTTAAAAATTAATATTTTTATGTATAGCAAAAATTCTGAACCATTTTTATGTTTTAAGAAGTTGTAAGAAGAACTGCCTAGAGGGACTAAACAGAGTATATAAAGTATGTAAAAAGTCAGTAAAATTAGTTATTTATTATAAAAATACATAAATATTGTGATGGCTTAGATAATGTAGGGAACAAATCTCATCTATTATTCAAAGAACCATTGTTATTTCTGCCCAGATTTTTAAAATTTTGATCTCAAAACTTTGAAGATTTGATTTTATACTTTATTTTACATTTTTACATAAGAATGCACCAATGGGAGGGGTATATTTAATAAACTGTGTTATTAAAACTCTTTGTGAGGAAAATAACATTCAACCAAGCTTGTTATGTAGATGTACTAACATCGATTTAAATATAAATTGATATCCCAGTTTATACATACGCAATCATGTGCTGTGTAATGATGTTTTGTTAATGATGGACTGTACATATGATGGTGGTCCTATAAGATTATGATGGAGCTGAAAAATTCCTGTCTCCTAGTGAAGTAGTAGCCATTATAACATTGTTGCACAATGCATTACTCACCTGTTTGTGGTAATGATGGTGTAAACAAACCTACTGTGCTGCCAGTCATATAAAAGTATAGCACGTACAATTGCATATAGTATATAATAATAATAACTGTTACTAGTTTATGTATTTACTATATTATACTTTTATTATTTTAGAGTGTACATGTTTTACTTGTTGAAAAGTTAACTATAGGCTGGGCGCGGTGGCTCACGCCTGTAATCCCAGCACTTTGGGAATCCCTAGAAACAGCCCCTGTGACAGTAAAGATTGTGTGGTTGTTGAGAGAGTGCTTTTAGGAGAAAGAGGTGCTGGCTGTGACTAGAGAAACAGAGCTAATCAAGGGATTAGCTCAGCTGGAGCCTAACTTCAGCATGCATCAGTGGTGAGCTCTGGAGGACAGTTCACCATGGTGTGGTTCCTGCACTGAAGCAAGGGGGCCAGATTTCTGTACTCAGGTGCACTTAGGGTGAGATGAGATCTAACCTACAGGGCAAGGGGGGTTTTCTTTCATTTGATATTTCTGCAGGAGTAGGTGGCTGATCATGTGTGATGCTGCAAACGTATATTCTTAAAGGTTCTGTGTGCTGGTTACTATAAACTTATTAGTCTGTGTTACTAAAATTGACCACTTATAGTTAAAACTGTAACATAGGAATATAAGAGATAACCAAGTGGAACACTTGAGGGCTAAGTAGATTTCTACCAATGCCCATATGTAGTAGCACCCTGTGATCATGATGATCAGGATCAATTATTCCTGCCACTGCCTGCTGGTGAATTAGAGACCAGGTGGCTCAAATTGACGCAGACTCCTGGGAAACAAAGTGCCATCAAGCCCCTCTATTAGAATGCGGGCCTATGGAGTTCAGATTATAAATGAGATCATCCATCTCACAGTGGGTTTAAGGAGTCTACAGATATATTTAGTGATTTCATAATTCCCAAGCTTACAATTGGAATGGACATACTTAGAAGTTGGCAGAACTCTCAAATTGGTTTCTTAACCTGTAGAGTAAGAGCTAGTATAATAGCAAAGGCCAAGTGAAAGCTTTTGAAATCCAGCCCACTTCCCCAGGTCAACCTAAATGAAAAACATCTGCAGAGAGTTTTAAGCGATGTCCCCAAAAACTCTAAGGATAAGGAGTATGGTCTCCATCACCGGTCTGCACCCTCCAAAAACCATATGGATCATAACATATGACAATGGACTTCTGTATACTTGGTCACATAGTAGCACCAAGTGCTAAATTGACATAATATGCTCATATCTGTATTGACTTAGTTATAAACTCTAGACAATCTCTAACTCCCTGTTATGAAGAGGAGAATTTATTTCACCTACATGATCTGCCTTTTCCTCACTCAAATGTTTGTTATGTAATTATCTGGGTTCTTCTTTGACCACTATAATTTTAAATAATAAATGTACCCCTATTTTGTGTTCAAATAACATTCTCCAGTATCTTGCTTCAAGTCTATAAAATAAAAATTATTATCAAACCTGTGATTTGACACCCTCCTTCTTTGCTTTTATGTTTTCTTTCTGTTATAACTTCACTTTTATATTACAAAAGCTTCCAATATTTGTATTTTGTTTCGCAACCCAAAGTAAGGCTTCAGTGCATTGTCCATGGGTTGAGTTCAGAAGTTGAAAACTCAAAAATAGAATTTGCTTTATTTATATGGTTTGCTGCCAGACCAAGAAGTATACAGTGATGACTCAATATTATTAAGAGCCTATGATGTGGCAGGGACTATTCTAGGCACTGGAGATATAGGAGTAAACAGAAGAAACAAAAATCCATTCCCTTAGAATGCTTGTATTTTATACTCTATGGAGCCAATATCACTGCCACCTGCATACTTGAAGGAGAGTGTTTCTAACATGAAGGTGTAAGAAATTTATTTTAGTTATAGGCCAATTGCTTAAAATCATACCACATTTTATTTGTTTACTATTTATTACAGAAACGGGGGTAACTCTAATTTGACAATAATGTGCCAAATGTTTTGCTAAATATTTCATGTATATTATTTCATTTTTTCTAACAATATTCCTATGAGATGGCATTGGTACTATCATTACTCTGTAGGTAAGGAAAAGTAAGTAAGAAAGGTTAAATGGTCCAGAAGGAACTATGAAGAGTCACTAAATATTCACAGTGAAATATATGAAAAAACTATACAGATATAGGGAAATATTTTCAGAAATGCAATTATATGGAATACTTTTTCAGACTTTAAAAATAAATGTCAAAAATAATTATAGAAAATAGAGGAGCTAAATAATAAGACATTTGAAATATGTAAAGGAACTTTTATAATGCATATATAGAGACAATATGAAATTTTCCAAGTAGCAATGGAATAACTACACATATTTTATATAGTTTAAATAATAATTTAAAATTGTATACCACTACAATTTTATACATAAAAATGTACAAATTCCAAAAATTCAGAAGTTACTGAGACCATATTTTTTCTCTTCTTGTCTTCTTTCCCGCCTAGAATATTTAAGTGATGACCAGTGCTCCAATAACCATGTTGGAATATGAAGCAACCTTGAAGATGAAAGCTATGCACTTAGAATGAGGAGTAGAAACTTAAACACTAAGGACCAAGAAACAGCAACACTAATCCTGAACTCTATTTCAGGACTTCTTTTAAATGAAAAAAAAAAAAAATAATAATCTTCCATACATTTAGCCAGTATTATTTCGGATTCTATTATTTTTGTTACACATAGCTATTGATATGGGAGTTAAGAAGAAATTATTTAGGCAGATAGTGAGGGTAAGGCAGTCCTCAGTAAGGATTTCCTTTTAATGAAAAGCAGTCTCAAACCATCTTTCTTTTCTAACAAAGAGCAGTCTGTAAAATCAAGCTGCAGACACAGGCAAGCAAGCTGGGAGCTTGCATGAGTGAATGCCAGGCAGCTGTGCCTATAGGAAAAGGCTACCTGGGACTACCCATGTTCAAAATGGCGGCTCCATGTTCCCTTCTCTTGGTCAGCCACGTGTACAGTAAGAAGTAGACAGCATAACGCTGGCCAAGTGGAAAGCCCATTTGCATAGTGGGGTGGCCAGCCTTCCCCACGGGCTATGTAAATGTCACACCTAGCTGAACCAATCTGTGGGCTGTATGTAAATCGGACACAGGCTCCTCAAGCCTGCCTATAAAATCTGGTGCACTCCACTGTGGGCCAGAATTCCCATTTGGGTGCCCCTCTCTCATAAGAAAGAGAGAGCTGTTCTCCTTTATCTTTCTTTTTCCTATTAAGCCTCTGCTTTTAACTCCTTTCTCTTTCTTTTGCCTATTAAACCCCGGCTCCTAAACTAACTCCTTGTGTGTGTCTGGGTCCTTAATTTTTTTGGCATGAGACGAACCTCGGGTATTTACCCCAGACAACGAAGCCGCTTCACTATCATTCTCATTGATAGATAGTATTGGTGCCACTTTAACCCTATTTCAAAGCTCACTAAAACGGTCTGAGGTGACATGTTCTATCAATGATATTGTCTGCCAAATAATATCTCCAGATAGGAAATGAAAGACTATTGCATATCTTTAACCACTCACTGCTTTGGGTAGATTTAGGGGCTACACCACCTAAATCTTAGATATATAATCCTTCATGTTTGCTATTATACTCTTTCCATAGATGCGAATACTGTTCAACTTGACTTGGGCATTGTCACTTCTTTCTGGTGACCTGAAATGCAGAGACAATACTTATTGAAGTGCAGAGACAATAAAAGACAATAAAAGGACAATAAAAGACAAAGACAATATTTACTGAAGTGCAGAGACAATAAAATAATTATAAGTGAAGAGAAGTCTAAGGAATCTCTGTGTGACAGGAAGTTATCTGATGTTTAATGTGTTTTATAACTACAGAATACAAAATATAACTACAATTTAAATAAGCTGTTTAGATTTCTGTCAGAAGTTACATTTAATAGAAAATATTTTTAAGAGGTAAATGAAAAAGAAATATATATGCTTATTCAGAACCCATGGGAGAGGGCGTACATTACCATTGAGTAACAATGGGTATTTTGTTAATCATTAAATTCGTCTCAGTATTTATGAGAATTTAAATGCTTTAACTCTATCCACAAGTGCTCTTGTTTTTCACTTTAATAAAAACAAATGTTATACAGATTATTTATACTATAAAAATATACATTTTACAGAATCTTCTATTTAACAAATTTAAACACACTACTGTGAGACAGATTTGAATGAGAATGATGAGAAATGAATAGATTTTTTGCTGTGATCTTTTTGACAGTGTTGCAATTAAGCTGCCAAAAGCAAAGAGAGAGAGAACACATGCACATGCTGTATTTGACTAAAAAATGGTTGACTAAAAAGAGCACATTTTGTACGAGAAACTCAAGGAAGCAATTAGCATATCTGACATATAATAGTTAGGTGATCAGCCATAAGCTATTATTCACTGGCAATAGCTGCACTAGAGCTTACTCACTTTGCATAGTTTGAAGTCTTAGCCCTTTGTGTCTGAAATGAATAAAAATATAAACACATCTCAATAAATTAATGATGTAATGAACGCTGCTTTAGAGAGAGTGAAGATTTGCATGTTTGTGTAACCTCCCTCTTAATTCTCATGCACCTCAATGGTGCATGGATAGGAACCTGAAGACTAAATTTCATTTGACAGCTTTGGGTTCTCAAAGCCGCCACCTTTACTGGCAGGTTAACTTATTCTCTTACTTTCATATTAGTATCTTTGTGGACTCAGAGCTCAACGAATGTTGTAAAAAAGAAAATTTCAATATAGATGTGTCTCAGTCCATTTTCTGTTGCTTATGAAAGAATACTTGAAACTGGGTAATTTATAAACAAAAGGAATTTATTTCTTACAGTTATGGAAGCTGAGAAGTTCAAGGTCGAGGGGCCACATCTGGAGAGAGTCTTCTTGCTGGTGGGGACTCTGCAGAGTCTGGAGGCGGAGCAGGGCATCATACAGTGAGAGGACTGAGTGTTCTAACTCAGCTTTCTCTTTCTCTTCTTATAAAGCCACCAGTCCCACTCTCCTGATAACCTATAAACCCAATAACCCATTAATCTATTAATCCATGAATCCGTGAAGAGCCCTCATGACCCAATCCCCTCTTAAAGGCTCATCTCTCAATAAGAGGGTTTAAGTTTCAACTTGAGTTTTGAAGGGAACAGATATTCAAGCCATAGCAAGATGTTAGTAGCTTTTGTTATCTGAAAAGGATGCTTGGTTTATATAGCTCATCTCCTGCAAATGTCCTTTACTATAAACTATTTATATTTAATATATACATATTATATATAATATTTAAATATGTATCTATTAAATATGTATATTTAATATATAAAATATGTATATTAAATATGTACATATTAAATATTATATACAATATGTACATATTTAATATATACATATTATATATATTTAAATATGCACATATTGTATATATTTCCTTTACTATAAGCTATTTACATTTAATATATACATATTACATATAATTAATATGTATATATTAAATACGCATATTAAATAAGTATATTAAATATGCATATTAAACACGTATATTTAATGTATATTAAATACATATATTAATATGTATATTAAATATATGTATATTAAATATGTGTATATTAATATGTATATTAAATATGTGTATATTAAATATTTATAATATGTACATAGTTAATATATACATATTATATATAATATTTAAATATGTACATATAATACATATTTAAATATGTATATTTAATATATAAAATATATGTATATAATAAAATATATAATATAGATATTTAAATATATTTAAATATTATGTATGATATTTACATATATTTTATATAAAATAAATATATATTTAATATATAAATGAATAATATAAAGAATATAAATATAATAAATAATATAAATTATATAAAATATAAATATATACTTAAATATCTTAAATAATATAGATATTTAAATATAAATATTAAATTTTATGGCCACTTGTATCTGTTTTCTAATGTTAGTGGGAGAACTAAAATCCTAAAGGAAAATTCGATGATCTAAGGAATGACAGTTAATATAGACAAAAGTATTTATTTTCATATGTTTCTACCTTTTTAGAAAAGAGATGGAAAATCTCAAGAAGTTATAGCATCAAGAAATTCTTATCTTGAAGAGGCAGAAGAGTTGCAGGGGCTTCAATTACCTTAATTTGACCCATTCAGCTCAGTTTAACTGAGGTAGATATATTACCATGTACTCAGGAATAAATCCTATAGTCTCTCCCCTGAAGGAGGTTTGAATAGACTCTATCAATTAAGATTCATGCCAGTGTCTTTCCGAACATAGCAGAATGCTTTAGCCTGGTTTTATCTTTCTTATCACTCATGTCTTAGCTCTATCACAACTCTATTGATATAAAAATGTTATCTATACATTTGAAGGTAACTATCTTTAGCTCTCTTTACAGATTTAAATTTTTGAGTAGGTAATAAGTAAGAACATGAAAAGATGTTGAATATTATCAGTAATCAGAGAAATGCAAATTAAGACCACAATGAGCTGCCACTGCACTCCTACCAAAATGGCTAAAGATAAAAAAATAATAAACCTGACAATAGCGAGCACTTTCTTGTATTACTGGTGAAAATGAAAAAAGGTACAGCCAATTTAAAAACCAGTTTGGTGACTTCTTATTAAAAACATTTACTTCTCTTATAGCTTCGCAATCCCACTCCTAGGTATTTATTGGTTCCCCTGAAATAAAACCTTATATTCATGCAAAAACCTGTATGTGAGAATTTATGTCAACACTATTCATAATTGTCAAAAACTAGAAACAAAATGTCCTTCAAGTGGTGAATGATTAAAAACTGTGGTAGATTCATACAATAACATACTCTTCAGCAATAAAAAGGAATGTACCACTGATACACACAACATGGAGATTTTGTTGGAAAGAGAGACAGAGAGAGAGAGAGAGAGAGAGAGATCTTGTAACTAGGACCTAAGCTATAAGTACACTGAGATATTTACAAATAATGTCAAAATAGGGCTATAGAAATTTTATTTGCACATGGAACCTAGGGCATTGGTAATGTAAGAGATGTGACTAAAGCAGAACCTACAAATAGGAGTCAAGACATCAATTGAATTATTTATAAGTCAGAGTTAATGAGAAAAATAGCCTCACAAGACATCAGAGAAAAAGCAATCATAGGTCTTCATGAACTCCTGTGAAATGTATCATCCCTTGAACTAGCAGGGTAGAATTTGGGGTTGAAATTTCCCTTTTTTTTTTTTTTTTTCGGCAAGAGCTAAGTCATGGAAAGCTATTTATTTCTTTGTCACTTGTTTGTTTGTTTATTCACTTGCTCATTGATTTATTCGCTCACACATTTATTCTTCTATTCCCTGTTTTGCAGCTAAAGAATGTGAAGTGGTTCTTAAGAATATCAATAAAAATAGAAGTATATAAAAGTAAAACAAAATTAAAATTGAATGATAAAGATAAGAGAGCAGGGGTGAGGAGAAATAAGAATAATTATTACAACAAGGCTGGGAGCAGCGGCTCACGCCTGTAATCCCAGCACTTTGGGAGGCTGAGACAGGTGGATCACCTGAGGCCAGGAGTTCAAGACCAGCCTGGCCACCATGGTGAAACCCCTTCTCTACTGAAAATACAAAAATCAGCCTGGTGTAGTGGCATGTGCCTGTAATCCCAGCTACTTGGGAGGCTGAAGCAGGAGAATCACTTGAACCAGGGAGGCAGAGGTTGCAGTGAGCCGAGATTGTGCCACTGCACTCCAGCCTGGGCAACAAAGTGAGACTCCATCAAAAAAAAAAAAAGAATAATTATTACAATAGAATTATAAATATGTCTTTGGCCTTTCCAGTTGCCAAAGCAAAAAATAAAAACAAAAACAGAGCAGAGTTAGTTATATGATTTGCATTGTCTGTGCAAAAGGAAAATACTAGTATTTCAGGAGAAGCAAAATGTTTTCTTGCCTTAAGAAATGAAAGTGAACTCTTTTCGGGAATGTTCACTTCAGAGACACACTTAAGGACAACTCAAAAGTAAACAGAATTGTCTGTTCGGCACAGCAAGCTCTAAAACCATCCCTCAACTCGAGCTAAGGATGTAAAAACAATGCATAAGGATGAGAAAGGAAATCTGTGGGTGACCAAGAATATCTGTGGGTTTCAGGTCACAGTTTTCTGATATTCTAGGTGTATCAGTTAAGAAACGTGTAAATCATTAGAAACCAGGTCAATATAGAGTGACCAATTAAAAAATATGTAACAAACTAAGTAGAAAATTCATTATGAAGATGCTGGACTTTACCGTATTTCCTTGACAAGCCAGGCATTTTTAATATTCTGAGCCTTGATGCATACTATTTCATTTGTCTGGAAAGATCCAACTTTCCCAATTAACTTATCAAACTCTCAGTTGTCCTGTTGTAAAGCATGGTGGTTTAGAGTGCTAAATTTCCAAACAAATAAACCTTGTTGGAGTTCTGGCCCTGTAACTTACTAGCTTGTGATCTCATGTGAGTAATTTCCCTATGCTTCTGTCTTCTTATCTGACAAGTGAGCCTTGTGATGGTTAATTGTATGTGTCAACCTGATTGGGCCATGGTGCCCAAATATCTGTCTAAACATTCTTTTGGTTGTTTTTGATTGAGATGCACATTTACGTCAGTGGACTTGGAGTAGAGATTGCCCTATAACATGAGTGGGCCTCATCCAATCACTTGAAGTCCTGAATAGAACAAAGAGTGACCTCCCCTGAGCAAGAGGGAATTCTGCAGCAGACTACCTTTGGACTGGAATTGCAGCATTGGCCCTCCCAGGGTCTCCGGTCTGCCAGCCCACCCAGTAGATTTTGACCTTGCCAACCTCTATTATTGCATAAGTCAGTTTTGAAAAATAAATATCTGTCCATGTATAGACTTATCTATGGGACACCTTATCTGTGTGGACACCTTATCTTGGCATTCTATGGGAATATGTTTTCATATATATATATTTTTAACATCTATTGGTTCTATTTCTCTGGAGAACTCTGACCAATACAGGTATACTAATAGCACCTTCCACAATGTCCCAAGAAGTACTTTACCTAGTGCTTGGCCTACAGTAAGGCTCACATTGTTCTCTCCTTTGTCCAGCCTTAGGATTGATTAATTTTCTTGAAAGTCAGGTTTTGTCCATGGAGAAATGATTTCTAGATTTCTAAATTTCCTTAAACCTTGTTTGCATGTCAAAGCAAATTTAGAGATCTGGAAACAGATTTTTTTTTTTTTAAGTAAAATGACCGTATAATTTAGCATCTGAACTGGGACAATTTTGAGAGCAAAATGGCACACTAAGTGTAATCTGTACCAGATTAAACAAGGAATTATAGTGAATTAGATATATTGTAAGAAGAATTCTTGTCAAACATTGCAGAAATTGTAAAGTCAGATTGATCCAACCCAGTGAAATGTATGAAGAAAAGGAAGAGGCAGAAATCAGAGAGATGTTGGACTCCAGTGTCCTCCCCAACCCTCACACACTAGTGGCTCTTCCCCTTCCATCCAATACACACACTTGGTGGATTTTTGTGGAATGGTGCTATACAAACATCCACATGAATTTGAAGAGACTCAATATATTTGATGCTAGTAGCTTTCTTACTGATTCAGAATCTGGAAAGGTAATAGGCTTCTAAGAAAATCCTTGCATTAGGCTTTGTGTCATTTCCATCATTGGTGATTAGAGGTGGCTGGGTAAAGATGTCACAACACTGGTGCTTGCAGGTGACTAGGAAGAAGGGTCCACAAGTTCCTTCAGGCTCTGATCTGTGGCCAGTGAAGTGCCAAGATCAATGTACCCAGGGGGAATTAGGGTTGGGAAAAAACCCAGCATGGTATACAGGAACTTCCTGATTAGAAATACAGGGCCAGGGCCACCGACTTTAGTGTCAGGAACATGGAAATTCTCTGAAAGCCTGGATGAGCAGTTCCATGGCAGTAGACATCAGTCATGGACCAAACCTATCCCAGAACCTGGAAAATACCAGAGAGAAGGCATTTCTCCAACATCCCTTCTTCCATCACCAACAGATTTCTTAAGCTCTTACATGCATCCAGATGCCATTTTGGGGATCAGGAGAAGAAGGAAAAAGTCTGAAAACTAGCATTTACCCAAATGAGATTGAGTTCCCTATAAAACTTTTAAAACTGAATCTCTACACACTATTACCTTCCACTTTCCCACTTGCCTTTCAAAGGGTTAGCGCTCGTGAGAAAGATAAAATCAGTTATGGAAAGTAAAATGAAAAAAAAGATAATTCTTCTCACACAGATCTGGGTAACAATACATTTGCGAGTGTGCAACATGAGTAACACCAGCTATAGGCAAGCTGCTTTGACTCTCCAAACCTTAGTTTTTCTTCTAAAAAAAATCTGGGGTCACATTACGTAAATTAAGATTTTTTCAAAAAATAAATGCCATAATTTTTCTTGGGACATTGCACAGTTTCTAAAATCAACTTAGAAGTCAAAGATTCTTACCTTGTTTTTTTCATATGATAAAAGGGGAGCACAGAGAGATACATACCCTCACTGACATTGAAACATAAAACACCTTCATTTACTCAGTTATTTATCAACTATTAATTAAGCAGCACCTAGCTGCCAGATCCTGTCCTAGTGGAAAGGGATGTAACAGTATACAAAACAAAAAAACAAATAAATGCATATTAAAAAAAGCACAGGAAGAGAATAAAGCAAGGAAGAGGAAAGTAAATTGATGGTGACCATCGTGTGTGTGTGCATGAATAACTGTGTACAGATGTGTGCCTGTATGCACATGAGTGCAAGAGAATGTGTAAATACTGAAATGGTAATATTCAAACTATTTATTAATGAAAACAGCACAGATGGTGAATAATCAGAATGAATACCTGACCTGTAAGAAGAGGCTCCAAACGAGAGGCTACATTTGTCTCTGATAGCAGCAGAGATGTGGTGGGTGTGAGATAATTCACGTAAGAAACAAGATGATCTAAAAAGAGTCTGAAAGGGAAATCATATGACCTTCCTCATTGGAAGAAGTATATGAAATATTTAGGTTAGTGCCACATTTTAAACAGCCTCTTACCTTTGATAAAAAGGCATAAAGAGCTTTGGATTTGTTTTAAAATCAAAAGGTTAATTTTTAAGTGATATTTTCACATTGAGGTTCATGGTGTCTGTGACTCAAAATGTCATTTTACACTAGCATGAAACTAACTCAGATTTTTAACTACATTAAAAAAAATGCATCTTGTTTTCTCCAGCCCTGCAAGCATTTTTCTCGAAGACTGTGTGTGGTAGGGACAATGCTATGTGTTTACCAAATTCCATTTCACTTTCCTCCTTCTGGGCACATGGGAGTTTTCCAAGTTCCCTCGCAGTTACATTATGGCCATGTGACTGTGTCCTGGCCACTTGCCAAGGTAAATCACACCTAGGCCTGTCCCTTAAAAACAACTCATGCAACAATTCTTCTCCTCTCTCTTCTTCTGAGGTGGGGAGTTTGGAAACCATGTGTTACCAAGGTAGCTATGAGATGAAGGAGGGGTGCCCAATTTGCACTGGACTTGATGTGAGCAAGAAATAAATCCTTACTGGATTAAACTACTAAAATTTCAGATTTCTTGTATTTTTCTTTTTAACAAAGATAGGCTAGCATATCATGACTAATTCGACTTTCAACAAACATTGCATGCTAAATCTGTATAGAAGTCTATACAAAAAGGATGTATTAAGAATTTAAAATTTTTTGTGTAAATGCATTTCACAACGTAAGTCAATATTTTCTATAGTACTCTTATGTCATCCCAAAATTTGATATTTTGTCAGATAAATGTTAATGAATTAATGCCAGGAAGAACACAAATTGTTTTTGAAACACCAAAATGCAGATTGGAGAAGTTTAAATATATTTAAGAACATTGAATAAGGCAACATTAGCTGTGATTATATTTAATTATATGGTAACAATTTGGGGTTAACAAATTTGAGAAAATAAATCTTTGGCAGTTGGAGCAGTGTTTTTTTTAAAAAAAATTTAACTAGCAGATGAAAAGAATAATACCATTACATTAGATAGATAAACTCAAAGTGCTAATAGACTAAGTAATCTGAGGAATACTTCTAAACCTAATACAACTAAGTTAATGTATCTTCAATAGAAGTCATGAAAATGGCATTTCCATCTGAGGTACAGGGTTCATCTCACTAGGGAGTGCCAGAGAGTGGGCGCAGATCAGTGGGTGCGTGCACTGAGCGCCAGTCGAAGCAGGGCGAGGCATTGCCTCACTCGGGAAGCCCAAGGGGTTAGGGAGTTCCCTTTCCTAGTCAAAGAAAGGGGTGACAGACAGCACCTGGAAAATCGAGTCACTCCCACCCGAAAACTGCGCTTTTCTGACGGGCTTAAAAAAGGGCGCACCAGGAGATTATGTCCTGCACCTGGCTCGGAGGGTCCTAGGCCCACACAGTCTAGCTGATTGCTAGCACAGCAGTCTGAGATCAAAATGCAAGGTGGCAGCGAGGCTGGGGGAGGGGCGCCCACCATTGCCCAGGCTTGCTTAGGTAAACAAAGCAGCCAGGAAGCTCGAACTGGGTGGAGCCCACCACAGTTCAAGGATGCCTCCCTGCCTCTATAGGCTCCACCTCTGGGGGCAGGGCACAGACAAACAAAAAGACAACAGTAACCTCTGCAGACTTAAATGTCCCTGTCTGACAGCTTTGAAGAGAGTAGTGGTTCTCCCAGCACACAGCTGGAGATCTGAGAACGGGCAGACTGCCTCCTCAAGTGGGTCCCTGACCCCTGACCCCCAAGCAGCCTAACTGGGAGGCACCCCCCCAGCAGGGGCAGACTGACACCTCACACGGCCAGGTACTCCAACAGACCTGCAGCTGAGGGTCCTGTCTGCTAGAAAGAAAACTAACAAACAGAAAGGACATCCACACCAAAAACCCATCTGTACATCACCATCATCAAAGACCAAAAGTAGATAAAACCACAAAGATGGGGAAAAAACAGAACAGAAAAACTGGAAGCTCTAAAAAGCAGAGCGCCTCTCCTCCTCCAAAGGATCGCAGTTCCTCATCAGCAACGGAACAAAGCTGGATGGAGAATGACTTTGACGAGCTGAGAGAAGAAGGCTTCAGACGATCAAATTACTCTGAGCTACGGGAGGAAATTCAAACCAAAGGCAAAGAAGTTGAAAACTTTGAAAAAAATTTAGAAGAATGTATAACTAGAATAACCAATACGGAGAAGTGCTTAAAGGAGCTGATGGAGCTGAAAACCTAGGCTCGAGAACTACGTGAACAATGCAGAAGCCTCAGGAGCCGATGCGATCAACTGGAAGAAAGGGTATCAGTGATGGAAGATGAAGTGAATGAAATGAAGCGAGAAGGGAAGTTTAGAGAAAAAAGAATAAAAAGAAACGAGCAAAGCCTCCAAGAAATATGGGACTATGTGAAAAGACCAAATCTACGTCTGATTGGTGTACCTGAAAGTGATGGGGAGAATGGAACCAAGTTGGAAAACACTCTGCAGGATATTATCCAGGAGAACTTCCCCAATCTAGCAAAGCAGGCCAACATTCAGACTCAGTAAATACAGAGAACGCCACAAAGATACTCCTTGAGAAGAGCAACTCCAAGACACATAATTGTCAGATTCACCAAAGTTGAAATGAAGGAAAAAATGTTAAGGGCAGCCAGAGAGAAAGGACGGGTTACCCACAAAGGGAAGCCCATCAGACTAACAGCGGATCTCTCAGCAGAAATTCTACAAGCCAGAAGAGAGTGGGGGCCAATATTCAACATTCTTAAAGAAAAGAATTTTCAACCCAGAATTTCAGATCCAGCCAAACTAAGCTTCATAAGTAAGGGAGAAATAAAATCCTTTACAGACAAGCAAATGCTGAGAGATTTTGTCACCACCAGGCCTGTCCTAAAAGAGCTCCTGAAGGAAGCGCTAAACATGGAAAGGAACAACCGGTACCAGCCGCTGCAAAATCATGCCAAAATATAAAGACCATCGAGACTAGGAAGAAACTGCATCAACTAACGAGCAAAATAACCAGCTAACATCATAATGACAGGATCAAATTCACACATAACAATATTAGCTTTAAATGTAAATTGACTAAATGCTCCAATTAAAGGACACAGACTGGCAAATTGGATAAAGAGTCAAGACCCATGAGTGTGCTGTATTCAGGAAACCCATCTCATGTGCAGAGACACACATAGGCTCAAAATAAAGGGATGGAGGAAGATCTACCAAGCAAATGGAAAACAAAAAAAGGCAGGGGTTTCAATCCTAGTCTCGGATAAAACAGACTTTAAACCAACAAAGATCAAAAGAGACAAAGAAGGCCATTACATAATGGTAAAGGGATCAATTCAACAAGAGCTAATTATCCTAAATATATATGTACCCAATACAGGAGCACCCAGATTCATAAAGCAAGTCCTTAGTGACCTACAAAGAGACTTAGACTCCCACACAATAATAATGGGAGACTTTAACACCCCACTGTCAACATTAGTCAGATCAACGAGACAGAAAGTTAACAAGGATATCCAGGAATTGAACTCAGCTCTGCACCAAGCTGACCTAATAGACATCTACAGAACTCTCCATCCCAAATCAACAGAATATACATTCTTTTCAGCACTACACCACACCTATTCCAAAATTGACCACATAGTTGGAAGTAAAGCACGCCTCAGCAAATGTAAAAGAACAGAAATTATAACAAGCTGTCTCTCAGACCACAGTGCAATCAAACTAGAACTCAGGATTAAGAATCTCACTCAAAACCGCTCAACTACATGGAAACTGAACAACCTGCTCCTGAATGACTACTGGGTACATAATGAAATGAAGGTAGAAATAAAGATGTTCTTTGAAACCAATGAGAACAAAGACACAACATACCAGAATCTCTGGGACACATTCAAAGCAGTGTGTAGAGGGAAATTTATAGCACTAAATGCCCACAAGAGAAAGCAGGAAAGATCCAAAATTGACACCCTAACATCACAATTAAAAGAACTAGAAAAGCAAGAGCAAACACATTCAAAAGTAGCAGAAGGCAAGAAATAACTAAAATCAGAGCAGAACTGAAGGAAATAGAGACACAAAAAACCCTTCAAAAAATTAATGAATCCAGGAGCTGGTTTTTTGAAAGGATCAACAAAATTGATAGACCACTAGCAAGACTAATAAAGAAAAAAAGAGAGAAGAATCAAATAGACGCAATAAAAAATGATAAAGGGGATATCACCACCGATCCCACAGAAATACAAACTACCATCAGAGAATACTACAAACACCTCTGCGCAAATAAAGTAGAAAATCTAGAAGAAATGGATAAATTCCTCGACACATACACCCTCCCAAGACTAAACCAGGAAGAAGTTGAATCTCTGAATAGACCAATAACAGGAGCTGAAATTGCGGCAATAATCAATAGCTTACCAACCAAAAAGAGTCCAGGACCAGATGGATTCACAGCCGAATTCTACCAGAGGTACAAGGAGGAACTGGTACCATTCCTTCTGAAACTATTCCAATCACTAGAAAAAGAGGGAATCCTCCCTAACTCATTTTATGAGGCCAGCATCATCCTGATACCAAAGCTGGGCAGAGACACAACCAAAAAAGAGAATTTTAGACCAATATCCTTGATGAACATTGATGCAAAAATCCTCAATAAAATACTGGCAAACCGAATCCAGCAGCACATCAAAAAGCTTATCCACCATGATCAAGTGGGCTTCATCGCTGGGATGCAAGGCTGGTTCAACATACAAAAATCAATAAACGTAATACAGCATATAAACAGAACCAAAGACAAAAACCACATGATTATCACAATAGATGCAGAAAAGGCCTTTGACAAAATTCAACAACTCTTCATGTTAAAACCGTCAATAAATTAGGTATTGATGGGACATATCTCAAAATAATAAGAGCTATCTATGACAAACCCACAGCCAATATCATACTGAATGGGGAAAAACTGGAAGCATTTCCTTTGAAAACTGGCACAAGACAGGGATGCCCCCTCTCACCATTCCTATTCAACATAGTGTTGGAAGTTCTGGCCAGGGCAATTAGGCAGGAGAAGGAAATAAAGGGTATTCAATTAGGAAAAGAGGAAGTCAAATTGTCCCTGTTTGCAGATGACATGATTGTATATCTAGAATACCCCACTGTCTCAGCCCAAAATCTCCTTAAGCTGATAAGCAACTTCAGCAAAGTCTCAGGATACAAAATCAATGTACAAAAATCACAAGCATTCTTATACACCAACAACAGACAAATGGAGAGCCAAATCATGAGTGAACTCCCATTCACAATTGCTTCAAAGAGAATAAAATACCTAGGAATCCAACTTACAAGGGATGTGAAGGACGTCTTCAAGGAGAACTACAAACCACTGCTCAAGGAAATAAAAGAGGATACAAACAAATGGAAGAATATTCCATGCTCATGGATAGGAAGAATCAATATCTTGAAAATGGCCATACTGTCCAAGGTAGTTTACAGATTCAATGCCATCCCCATCAAGCTACCAATGACTTTCTTCACAGAATTGGAAAAAACTACCTTAAAGTTCATATGGAAGCAAAAAAGAGCCCGCATCACCAAGTCAATCCTAAGCCAAAAGAACAAAGCTGGAGGCATCACACTACCTGACTTCAAACTATACTACAAGGCTACAGTAACCAAAACAGCATGGTACTGGTACCAAAACAGAGATATAGATCAATGGGATAGAACAGAGCCCTCAGAAATAACACCACATATCTACAACTATCTGATCTTGACAAACCTGAGAAAAACAAACAATGGGGAAAGGATTCCCTATTTAATAAATGGTGCTGGGAAAACTGGCTAGCCATATGTAGAAAGCTGAAACTGGATCCCTTCCTTACACCTTATACAAAAATCAATTCAAGATGGATTAAAGACTTAAACGTTAGACCTAAAACCATAAAAACCCTAGAAGAAAACCTAGGCATTACCATTCAGGACATAGGCATGGGCAAGGACTTCATATCTAAAACACCAAAAGCAATGGCAACAAAAGCCAAAATTGACAAATGGGATCTAATTATACTAAAGAGCTTCTGCACAGCAAAAGAAACTACCATCAGAGTGAACAGGCAACCCACCAAATGGGAGAAAATTTTCACAACCTACTCATCTGACAAAGGGCTAATATCCAGAATATACAATGAACTAAACAAATTTACAAGAGAAAAACAAACAACCCCGTCAAAAAGTGGGAGAAGGACATGAACAGACACTTCTCAAAAGAAGACATTTATGCAGCCAAAAAACACATGAAAAAATGCTCACCATCACTGGCCATCAGAGAAATGCAAATCAAAACCACAATGAGATAGCATTTCACACCAGTTAGAATGGCAATCATTAAAAAGTCAGGAAACAACAGGTGCTGGAGAGGATGTGGAGAAATAGGAACACTTTTACACTGTTGGTGGGACTGTAAACTAGTTCAACCATTGTGGAAGTCAGTGTGGTGATTCCTCAGGGATCTAGAACTAGAAATACCATTTGACCCAGCCATCCCATTACTGGGTATATACCCAAAAGACTATAAATCATGCTGCTATAAAGACACATGCACATGTATGTTTATTGCGGCATTATTCACAATAGCAAAGACTTGAAACCAACCCAAATGTCCAACAATGATAGACTGGATTAAGAAAATGTGGCACATATGTACCATGGAATACTATGCAGCCATAAAAATGATGAGTTCATGTCCTTTGTAGGGACATGGATGAAATTGGAAATCATCATTCTCAGTAAACTATCACAAGAACAAAAAACCAAACACCGCATATTCTCACTCATAGGTGGGAATTGAACAATGAGAACACATGGACATAGGAAGGGGAACATCATGCTCTGGGGACTGTTGTGGGGTGGGGGGAGGGGGGAGGGATAGCATTGGGAGATATACGTAATGCTAGATGATGAGTTAGTGGGTGCAGCACACCAGCATGGCACATGTATACATATGTAACTAACTTGCACATTGTGCACATGTACCCTAAAACTCAAAGTATAATAATAAATAAATAAATAAATAAGAAGTCATGATAATTAATTGATGACATTTGTAATTTTCTTCTTTATAGAAATCATCTGCAGAGCTGGTAAACTAAAAAAACAAAAAACAACAACAACAAAAACCCTGAAGTATAAGCAATCAGGCAGCCATTAATTTTAGTACACAGGTCACTCTGACATTACATGAAAAAAAAGAAGCTACAAATCATCAGGGTACATTTAAAGATCATTGCCATTTTCATAGTCAACTTTAGGTACATTTAATATACATTAAGATCCTTGGGTAATTTGCAAGATTGAAAGGACTACAGACCAGTTTTCCTAAAGAAAATTGGATGCTGGCCTGTGAAATTCATACCTGTCAATTTGTAGGAATTGTACACTACATATGGTGCATGACATCAATTTTCAATGGACCAGATCAACTTTGAGTTGCATCATGATTATGCTATTGCCATTTACATGCAACCAGCTTTGATTTCCGGCAGCTGTTAGAACAACGTGTACCGTACCATAATTAAGTAAAGATCGCACAATTGTAGGGCCTATTTTTCCACCACAGTATCATTTATATTTTTGGAAGTAAAAAAACATTAAAAACTGACACGATTATAGACAAAATATTCAAGGATCAATATAATACATTCAAATTTGAGTATCGTATTCTCTTTACCACTAAATTTTGCTGGTGAAACACTAATACTACAACATTATGAGTCAGGAATTTCTAAAATATAGCCCCTTTTGGCTCTTTGTCCTTCTTATTCTTAGTTACTAAGGTATATATATATTTTGCATTTTTTGTTCTTTTTTTTGAGGTGGTCTCACTCTGTTGCCAGGCTGGAGTGCTATGGCGTGATCTCGGCTCACCGCAAACTCCACCTCCCAGGTTCAAGTGATTCTCTTGCCTCAGCCTCCCGAGTAGCTGGGATTACAGGCACGCGCCACCACGCCTGGCTAATTTTTTTTTGTATTTTTAATAGAGACCAGGTTTCATTATGTTGCCCAGGCTGGTCTTGTACTCCTGACCTCATGATCCGCTTGTCTCGGCCTCCCAAAGTGCTGGGATTACAGGCGTGAGCCACTGTGCCTGGCCTGGTTGTTTTATATTGCCTGAAGAACTAAAGAAAAAACAAGTCTGACCAATTACAGCCAAATGTTAAGACATTTGCCATGAAACTTCCCTTATGCAAAACAAAACATAAAATCCTTAAATTTTTAGAACTTTGAGATCACTAAATTTTTGCTAGGGTATCCCTATCAGTAATCTTTAATGATGTGTCTCATTTTTCCCAGGTTGACAGGTTGAGATAGTCAACACTGTACTTGGTGATGGGCTGTTGCCCACATAACTTGTACAATGGTATTATGAAAAAATGCACAGGTGCTGGAGAACAGATGGAGGTCTCTGACAAACCAGCCAGGGGAGCAAAATTATAAGCTCTTGCTTTTGTTCAATTTGTACCGCTTTCTAGATATCCATCAGAACTTCCTCAAGTTCCTCTCAGAATTAATATCACCTTTCTTTAAATGATCCAATGAATATGCCAGTGTTATGCATAGAGATTAGCAAATACTAGACACTTTACAAATGTTTGTATCTGATACAATTGCATTTTGTACACTTTTAATAAGCCTCTTAAGACATTCTGCGTGATGTTAGCATTGGTGGAAGATTTGTCTCTGCTAGGAAGTTGTCAACTTGTTCAGGGTGGGACTTGATTTTGTTTTCACACAACTCCTCCATTCTACATTATTATGTCTCATATTCAGGCTGTCTTGCATGGGCTTATTTATGGCTTTTTCCTCCTCCACTAGACTATGAGTTCCAGGAGGACTAAACTGTGTCATCTTTATTTTTATGTTCCTCACAGTACCTAACACTGCTTGGTATATAATGAGTCTTTAAAAACTATGTGTTGAATTTGAACGTTATCTCCTCTGGGTAATTTTATTTTCAAAACATTCACTTTTGAATAGGACTTGTTTTATCGCAGCATTTTATTTTGCAGATTAAGGAAACTGAATTAAACTAGAAGACATGAAAAACTTTAAAGTGCTGCTTCAAACTTCATTAGAGATTTAACAGGAACAGTACAGTATAGTAGAATACATACTTGTCACTTGATACCTAGTCATTTTCAGATTGTATTTTCTCTGAGAGGGTCACACACCAACCTCATCAGGCTTTTTTTTTTTAAATCCATATTCATTGTGATAAGAACACGTAACATGAGATCTACCATATTAACACATTTTAAAACATACAATACATATTGTTAATTATCAGTACAAAGTTAGACAGCAGATTGCTAGAGCTTATTCATCTTGCTTATCTGAAACCTTATGCCTATTGATTAGTAATTCACCATTTCCTCCTTCCTTGGGGGCTTTTTAAAAAATGAGATAAAGAAGCCTTAAAGACTATATATATTTAAAAACCACAGATTCTTTATATGCAAATTTTGGCAGGAACAACTTAAATTTACATACAAGAGAAAAGAACCGCTAGGAAGCTAAGCCAGACATTTCAATCAGTCAGATAACTGAGCTTTTTGAATTCTCAAAGAGAACTGTTTATTCATTAATTGGTTGCATATGGCTGATATCTGAGGCAGGAAACTTATCAGGAAAAGGTGATACGAGAGTGCAGGAAGTTTTAAAAATTACGTGTTTCCTATTCTTTGACCCTCATTCCTAAAAAGTACCAATGTTGAGTTCTAGAAAGATTTAAAAAATTTCCCACTTGTTACATAAAATAGGCTCACATGTATAGAGTATGTTTTTTAAGAAATTTGGAACATGTGCTTTCAACAGATTCAGTCTACAGCACTCGATTTCTAGAGTGGCTCAATCAAGGCTGTCTTAATTTCATTTCAGAATTGAACATTGATTTGTTTGATTATTCTATGAAGACAATAATTTGACATCATTGGGATGATCAAAATTAGCCCTGAAAGTTGGGAAGTTTGGGACTGAAACTGAAATGGGAGAGTTCCCTGACCCCCCTCGCAGGATGTCAGGTGTGTCTCATCTGTTTGGCTGCTATGTGCTCAAACCACTTACAGGAGGAGGAGCACTTAGATGGGCAGTTGCAGGAGCCAGGGCAAGTGATTTTGGGCTCCAGCCCCACAGTAACCTCTAAGGGTGGGTGTTTGTGACTCTGGAAGCCCCAATATGGTGTCACAGTGCTTTTTTCACTCTGTCTTCTGCAGACAGCTTAGGTGTTAACCAGCTCAGTGCCCTCTTGGTACCTAGGTCCTTGTCCAGTGTCCAGGAAGAATCAGGTCACACGGACAAATTAAAGGATGATAAATGCAGGGGATTTTATTGCCAGATGGAGGTGACTGTCAGTGGGAAGGATGGGGAGCTGGAAAGGAGATGGAGTGGAAAAATGATCGTCCCCTGGAGTTCAGCCATCCCACGGCTCATCTCCTCTCTGACCACCCCCAGCCGAACTCCTCTTGACATTCAGACACTCCTTCTCCTCTCTCCTTCTGTGCCACACTGCTGTTCTGCTCCTCTGCTCTTCTGCTCGTAGAACCTGGGGTTTGGGGTTTATATGGGTACAGGATATGGGAGTGTGGTGGGCCAAAAGGCAACATTTGCTTGCGAATACAGGAATGCCTATTCACATTTAGGGGTGTGGGTTTCCAGGTTTGAGGGTGGGGCCTTTGCTGGGGAACCACCCTCTTCTATCCATTATTTCCCTGTCTCCTGTCTGTATCAAAACCTTGTTGTTCATTGTCTCTGTAATCCAAAAATCAGCTAGTTTTCCAAAGGTCAGAAAAGGCCCAGCATAGAACATCCTCAGCAATGGATTCATTTAATCTCTTATTGGAGATTTTTGGTGTTTGAATGTAACCAAAATGCAAGTTAGTTTCTCACTGCAAGTAGAGTCCAATTAACAAGACAGAGGTCTTGTGCAAAAAATATGAATTTATTCTGAAGCTAACTTGGAGGAAGGGGCACAAAGTGTCCTGCCTTTAAATGTGCCACTTCATCTTTGGAGCAGAAAGTGGATATTTTTATAAGGTAAGAGGGGAAATTGAGCCAGGGCAGGGGACCCCTCTACTAGCTTGGTGCCTTATCTACAGAACAGTTGAGTTGACACCTTCTATGGAAGAAATAATTTGTAAAAGTGGCCAACTCGGCATGCTTTTGACATGCCCTCCTGGTGCATGAAAGTCCCAAGACAATCCTGGAGAGTGGAAATTTGAAGGCAACCCCCTGGAGGTGAGAGTTCTGTGGTGGGTATGCTTTGGTCTGCAAAGCAACTGTCAACTCTCAAGGAGAGACCTGTCTTGGAGCAAAGAGTTAGAACTTGCATTGCAGGAAATGTCTGGTAAGGGAGATGAGAAAGAGTATATTTGCATTTTTAAAGGGCTAAGTAGGAAGTGGGGAACCAGAAAACAAGAAGAGAAGAGAAAGCAAATAATAATAATAATTAAACCACCTATTAGAAAAATGAGGGATACTCAGTTACATGAATAGGTTAAAATGTATGCAGTTTTCCCAAGAGCCATGAATAAAATTACAATTAGCAGCCAACAGTTAGCAGATATCTTCCCTGAAGAATTCATCTAGGGAAAATCTAGTTTTGAGATCCTATGGATATAGACCAACTCTGTCTTTGAAAAGGTACTTCTGTAATATCAAAGTTAGACCTCATTCTATTCTGCTGGTGGATCTGTCAAACATAATTTCTCATCTAAATTGAGAAACTTGAGAGCGAAGGGTGCCCTGTAAATAGACACACAAAAATCACAGTCATATCCCAATGCTGTCTCAAGGCATATATGGCCATCACACCAATAGAAATTCTCATATTATACATGGTTCTATTACCACCTGTGTGAACCCAAAGTATCTGAGACAGGTGTCCAACAATTTACAAAGTTTATTTTGCCAAGGTTAAGGAGGTGTCTGTGACACAGCCTCAGGAGATTCTGATGACATGTGCCCAAGGTGGTCATGGCATAGCTTGGTTTTATACATTGTAGGGAGACAAGAGACATCAATCAATATGTGAAGATGTACTTTGATTTGGTCCAAAAAGGCAGGACAACTTGAAGCTGGGTTGGAGGGGTTGCTTCCAGGTCATACGTAGATAAGAGACAAAGGTTGTATTCTTTTGGGCTTTGATTAGCCTTTCGCTAAAGACAAAATTTACATGTGAGAAAGGTGTAGAGTAATAGTCACTTATGTCTTAGTCTGGCTCAGTGAATCTGCATTTTTACATAAACAATAGGGCAGAGGAAGCAATGATACACATTTGTCTCAGGCGAGCACAGGGATGACTTTGAGTTCTGTCCTTTGTCCCGCACCTGTGAAGATAAGCTAACAATTGACATCACAAGGGTGAAGTCCAGCAGAACTGTTTCAGGGTAAAGATCTTGAGGCCACAAGGAATTTCCTTGTGGGTTAATTGTGAGGGAGGTATGTAGCTTTTCAAATCTTTGTACCTATCTTATTTAGAATAAAATGGGAGGCAGGTTTGCCTGATGCAATTCCCAGCTTGACTTTCCCTTTGGCTTAGTGATTTTGGGGCCCTGAGATTTATTGTCCTTTCATACCCGAATCCTTCTTTACTTCTTTTCTCTCTTCCTCCCTGCTTTCTTCTTCTTCTTCCTCTTCCTCCTTCTTCTCTTTTTCCTCTCTCTATCTCTCTCCTTTTGCTTCTTTCTTGTCTAGAGTCTAGACTAGATACCATACTGGGAAGTTTTCAAAAAAGAAACTGTCTTTTTTTTTATTTGAAGAAACAGTAGAATACTGTCTTTTACTTATTCCACATACAACTATGTTATAGGAATAAAGGAAAATATACAATTATTTTAAGTATTTTCCTTCCATTTCCACTTTCATTGCATCCCTGAACTCCTTCTCCCTTTTGCTCTGGGTCACAGTCATTTTTTTGTGTCTATAAGACCCTCAATATGCTGGGTATAGCAGAAGAGAGACTGCAAGAATCCGAGAGGTTCTGATCATCAACATAAGAAATGGCAAAAAAGGACTTAGAGTAGAGATTGGAAGAGTTTAGTCTGACAGGGGAAAGGGAAGTAAGAAGAAAGTGAGGAGTTCCATTAAATTTGCAAATAGAAAGGTTTAAGAGATGTGGGTAGTTACTTTTGAAAGTGAAACTTTGAGGGAGTTTGGAAAGTTTTACTCTCTGACATGCAAATTAATTCTAATACATCTTTAGGTGAACCGCAATAAGTGCCAGCAATATTCTCATTGTTTTATGAAGCTGGGGTTCTACATTTTTTTTGACTGTAAGAAGTAGCACTAGTTTTACTAGATATACCTACTAAGCACATATCAAATAACAGGCACTCAATTTGGAGAAGTAATGTTGAATAAAGCATATGTAACAGATGATGCTTGTGGAATGAATGAACAATGAATGCATAAATCAGTGATCTTACTTGAAAAGTCAGAAAGTTTTTCTCCTCTGAACAGTCTGAGGGCAAGTGGCATACCTCAGCCCTTTATCCCTAAATATTGTAATGTGTATTTTTGTCAGAGTAAAAAAATCACAGTTTTAATTACTCTTTTAAACAATTTGATGGCTTTCTAGAGCGAATATGGGGAGATTCAGAACTGGGTGGTTGCTATTGTTTTCCTGAGAGTTGTTTATTAATAATGTATTTTCTCATACAGATATAACCAGAACAATACACTGGGCATATGCCTATGTGCCCCTTCCTTACCTCTCCGGAAATCACAATTTGCAAGAGATCAAGCTCTCACGTTCATCATATTGTTTCAAATGTGCTAGTAGTATGAGCAGACCATGAAAATAGTTCACAAAAATTTTTTCCTCGTGTAACATTAATAATAATAGTGGTTCCCTTCAAATCTCAACTCCTTCTAGCAGAAATATGCTCTCATTAAGCTATTCTCCACAAGTTAATTACCTCCTGTATCCAGTTCCTCACAACTGCCACTCACTCCCATTAGCACCCCCTATTGTGTTCTCATGGGCCTGGGAATTCTCTTCTCTACCCTCTTCCCCTCTCCTATACATGGGTCACTAGGGTATTGCCTGAACATTGTTCTCCCTACATTTCTCATGTATTAACTTTAGTCACATTTTTGCAGTTTCTATTTTCCTACTTTCCAACATTGTGTTAATTATGCCTTCACTTTCTTTTTTATCTCAGTTCTGATTTTGACTCTTGTTCATTCTCTTTTATTTTTCCTTGCTTATGCAGTTTTCAAGAAGGGTGTTTAATATTAAATCTCTGAGGACACCAATGTATTGTTTACTGGCTCTTCTGAGAAGT